>NC_000020.11:3399668-3551183 GCF_000001405.40 Homo sapiens
CTGTTTCCCTTTCTTGTCTGACAGACATGATGGCTGGAGTTCCTACAGCCATTCTGTGATCATGGAGCTATGGTGAATATAGAAACCACCTGCTAAAAGACAGCAGAACACAAACACAGAAGAGGCCTGGTTCCCTGATGACTCTAACAGGACCGGCCTGCCTTCCTCCAACAGACATCTTCTTCAAGTTAAGTCATTACTGTTAAGCATCTCGCCAGCTGCCAAACTTAGTTCCTGATAGGCCACCTTATCTAAAATGGTTAAAACTCATGTCCGATGGCAATTCATGTCTACACCTATTTCATGAATTGGTATGCATAAGACACTCTACAAACTAAATTCCAGAACTTCAGAAACTGTTACCCACCACAAATGGAAAATGTTATCTGAAGTTTGTTCACTATATTCCAGTGTATACAACACTTTATTTTCCATTTTCTTCCTTCTCTCTGGCATTCTCTGAATATTTCCTTACAGAATCTGTTCTTTGTAAAGTCAGTTTCACAAGTCTTCAATCACAAAGCATTCACAATTCCTTTCCTTCACTTATTTGACCATTAAAAACATGCTAAATCTAAATGCAATGTGAAATCCTGAGTTGGATCCTGGAACAGAAAAAGAATGTGTGGAGAAACCGAGAAAATTCAAATAAAAGCTGGAGTAGTAAACTCCAAGTAAACAAAAGTTTACTAAGTAAACAAATCTATTATACCAATATTAATCTCTTAGTTTTGATAAATGCACCAGGGTTATATGTAAGATCTTAATATTAGGGGAAGCTGCGTGAAGAGTATATAGGAACACTCTGCACCACTTTAGAAATTCATCTATAAATTTAAAATTATTTCAAAATTAAAAGTTAAAAACAAAAAGAATGCCAAATGAGCTGCCTTTTCTTCAAACCAGAGCTAAAAATCACAGATAACAATTTTAAATATCCAAGTTGCAAACCCTGCTTTGCTTTTCTTTCTTTTTTAAAAATTTTAGGGCAAAAACAATAATTTAAGCTGTGTTACTTAAAGGGCATTTGTGTCTCATTCACTCCCCTCTCCAAAGGTCAGAACCTCAGAGAAGACCCCACAAGCTGTGAAACATTGTTAAGATATTGTGTACTATTAATGCCACAACACTCACTAAATAAGAGTCCTCAGTATACTGTCATCCCAGATACAAGTGAAAAGGAAGTTATATATAGGCCTCTATCCCTGGACCAGAAATAAAGCCATACAAGTCTAAGTAAGCATACCCTTTTTACTTCTACAGGCACCACACCAAGCCTTCCTGGCCAGCATCCAAGTAAACTGGAGGCTGAAGCTTCACATTTTCAGGTATTCCAGGGCATTGGCTTGCTTTGCATTTTGAATTTTCTTAAGGCTGGGACCATCTGTACCGTAGTTATTACTTCCGTAGATCTGTAAACCCTCCAAGAGAATGAGGGGTAATGGCAACTAGCTAAGAAACACCTGAAGAGATAACTAACCTCTGTGAGGCTTTAATTAAAGTGCTTTCTCTAGAGTATCACTATCATGAATCACTTTCTTTTTTTTTTATTTTTGAGACAGAGTCTTACTCTGTTGCCCAGGCTGGAGTGCAGTGGCGCGATCTCAGCTCACTGTAACCTCTGCCTCTTGGGTTCAAGCAATTCTCCTGCCTCAGCCTCTCCAGTAGCTGGGATTACAGGCACCCGTCACTAGGCCTAATTTTTGTTATTTTTAGTAGAGATGGGGTTTTTCCAAGGCCAGGCTGGTCTTGAACTCCTGACCTCAGGTGATCCACCCACCTCGGTCTCCCAAAGTGCCGGGATTACAGGCATAAGCCACAGCACCCGGCTGATGAACCACTTTCTTACCACCTAGCTCGCAACTATGACTCTTCATTCTCTGAATACCCATGAAATTTAACATAGCCCACAGCTTCACCTGTAATTATTATCTTTCATTCAATAAATAATTACTGAAGCAGTGTTTCATAATAGCTAACAATAGCAGTTCATACTCAGCGAGTCCTATGTGCCAGACACCAATCTAAGCAGCAAGGGAAACAATGTGAGAAATGGCAATTAAAAATAGTCCCAGCCCCCTGATACTTTCCAGGGGTGATAGAGAAGATCCTTCCCAATGACCCTCTTGACAATAAAGAAATCCTACCTATGTCACCCAAGCTACCTCGGTATGGGGAGGGGGTGACCGTGGGGAGGGCTCCCCCGCCCCCTTTTGATACAGAAAGATCTGTAGAATCTTTCTATAGAAGATGGTAGAAGGGACGCCAGCACGGGAAATCCTTAATCAGACTGTTTTGCTAGAGCACATCCTCCAGTAGCTTCTTCATAAAACGGGCATGTGAGGTCAAATTTTGAGAACTTACATGTGTGAAATATCTTCATCCTTTCTTACACCTGCCTGAGAGTTTGGCTGGGTGCAGAATTCTGGGTGGGAATCTATTTTCCTTCAAAAGGCACTCTTTGCTCCACTACTTTCTAGCTTACAATCCTGCTAGAATCCTAGCATTCCTGATCCTATCTATGTGACTTACAGATATTGTCTTCATGGTGCTAGAAAATTTCATGATGCTATGCCAGGACATGCATATTTTTATTTTAAATTGACAGATATATATATGTATTTGTGTACCTGATGTTTTGAAGTATATATACATTGCGGAAAAGTTAAATCTAGCTAATTAACAAATGCATCACCTCACATAGTTTTTTTTTGATGAGTACACTTAATATCCACTCTGTTTGCATTTTTCAAGAATATATAATCATTAACTATAGTTACCATGTTGTATAACAGATCTCTTAAACTAATTCCCCTATCCAACTAAAATTATATATCCTTCAATCAACATCTCCCCATCCCCGCTACATCCTAATTACCACCATTCTACTCTCTACTTCTATAAGATCAACTTTTTTTTTTTTTCTTGACACAGGATCTCACTCTGTTGCCCAGGCTGGAGTGCAGTGGCATGAACGCAGCTCGCTGTAGCCTTGACCTCCTTGGCTCACATGATCCTCCCATCTCAGCCTCCTGAGTAGTTGGAATCACAGGCGCATGCCACCACGCCTGGCTAATTTTTCTTTTTTTGAACTTTGTAAAGATGGGGTCTCGACATGTTACCCAGACTGGTCTCAAACTCCTGGGCTCAAGCAATCCTCCCACCAGGGCCAAGATCAACTTTTTTAGATTCTACCGCATATAAGTGAGATCATGTGGTCCTGGCATGGATATTTTAAAATTCATTGTGCTAGATTCTTCGCAAGTCTTTTCAATCTGGAAACGTATGTCCTTTGGTTCTAAGGAATGTATTTATTTTTTTATCATTTCTTCATGTCTTCAAACAATAACTACCTGCTATCTCTCCCTGTTACAGACATCTACAGGTCCCTAGGTCATTCTGTTAATTTATGATAACCTCAATCTTCACCACAATCTTTACCTCTCAGTGCCTTGATTCCCCCACTTCCAATGGTGGTGTCCTCCATCCTACTTCAGCTATTCCCTTCCACATTGCCACATCCAAGCAGCTCAACACAGCTGCAGGAAAAGTGTACAACTATGCTAAGTAGGGTCTCACCTAGGTTTACAACTACAAACATCAAATGGGCACTAGGTGCTGCCTGGAAATCCTAAAACTTTTCCTTATTTTCAACTCATTCTTCCCCATTCTCTTGGATGAATCCAACACCTCTCTTCATTTTTAGCTGAAGACCTTCCTTCTTATTTACCTGAGAATACAGAAGTAATCAGAAGAGAACTTCCACTTTCTCCCACCAACAAGCTACCAGCATTTGGGTTCACATAATCTGCCACCAATGAATTGTTGGCATTGCTCCTGTCTAACTTGAGGCCAACATCCCCATTTACATACTAGATCCCATTCCATCTTACCTACTCAAGGACTTCACCCTTGCAAGTGTCACTTCTCTTTAATCATCAATTGTCCCTCCCTACTGCATCAGCCCATCAATTTACAAACATGCTATAATATCTGCCCATATAAAAACAAAAAGAACTCGACACCTCATGATCTTCCAACTACAGCCCCATTACTCTACTCTCCTTATAACCATCCTCAAAAGAACATCAATATGACTGTCTATATTCAGTGTCTTCAATTCTCCTCTCATTTTCTGCTTTGTAAATTAATCAATTTATGTTTTTTAGAGACAGGGGTCTTGCTATGTTGCCCAGACTGGACTTGAATTCCTGGACTCAAGGGATCCTCCCACCTCAGCCTTCCGAGTAGCTGACCTACAGGTGACTGGCTTCATTTTCTCTTGAACCCACTGCACCAAAACTGTTCTTGTCAAGGTCACTAGTGACCCTCCACATTATCGAATCTAATTGTCTATTATTAGTCCTTTTGTTTTCTTGAGATGGAGTTTCACTCTTGTTGCCCACACTGGAGTGCAATGGCAAGATCTTGGCTCACTGCAACCTCCACCTCCCAGGTTCAGGTGATTCTCCTGCCTCAGGCTCCCGAGTAGCTGGGACTACAGGTGCCTGCCACCATGCCCAGCTAATTTTTTTGTGTGTATTTTTAGTAGAGGTGGGGTTTCACCATGTTGGTCAGGCTGGTCTCAAACTCCTGACCTCAGGTGATCCACCCACCTTGGCCTCTCAAAGTGCTGGGATTACAGGCGTGAGCCACCGTGCCCAGCCTGATTACTAGTTCTCATCACACTGTCAACAATCTCATTCGGCTTTCAATGTCTGTTCTCAATTATTCTCCCACCTCAGAGGTAGGAAACCATTTTCTCTCAGAACTTGGAAGACACTGCTACACTGCCTTTTCTTCTTCTAGTGTTCTTAATACTAATAAATGGCAACTCCATTCTTTCAATAGCTGAGGCAAAAACCGACTAGGCCTTCTTGTATTATTGTTCTTTCGGCCGTATTTCTTCCTCAGTACTTATGACTCACTATTCTATATTATGATTTCTACTGTTACTGTCTCTTCCCCTTTACAAAAGAGTTATTTGAGGGCAGGGGACTGCTGTATTTATCTGACTCTACAGCACCTAACAGAGTACTTGTTGCATAATTTATATAAATAAACAGTGAAATTTAAACTATTAAAGAAGTTTCAAGCAGGAACAGATCGCTCTACAGAAAAACATTTTGAAGTAGAAAGTATCTTTCAGCTAGATTTCCACTGGTTCCTTAGCATTGATCCAGATAGGTTAGTTTATACCTTGGTAATAAGTCCAAAATCCCGGTGGTGTTTCACTTCTTGCTCAACCTACCTGTCAAGCATAGGTCACCTGGAAGCTAGCTCTGGGGCCTTGACTGATGGGTGGCTGCCATTTGCAGCCCCAACAGCTACCATGACAGAAGGAAAGAGAATGGAAAACTACACAACAGAAATTTGTACCATGAAAGGCTACACAGTATTCCCACGCATTTCACTGACCAAAAGCAACTCTTAAGGCCATACCTAACTTCAAAGAAGCAAGCAAGTAAAATTCTACTACATGCTCAAGAGACAGAAACCAAAAATACCTGGTAAGACTGATGACTATCACATGCTTAAAGAGAAGCCTCTCATTCTGAGTAACAATATTTTAATTCTTGATCTCCATTCTCCATCTGTGAAAATGAACTACCGTGCTAGAACCATACACTTGCAGAGTACTATCTATGGGTCTTAGGAATGTCACTTCACCAGTTAGGTTTGCCCCTTCCATCACTCAGCAGTCAGCAGCAAAGCCATATATGGGTGACAGGAAAGTGCTAGTAACATTCAATGTCAAGAGTAAGGGAAAGGCTTGAATGGGCAAGAAAAGCACGTTCAATCATGTAGAAGTGGGGAAAGGAGGGAAGCCTTCAGCAAATTTCTTTCACCAAAGGTATTGGGGGCAGCTAGGCCTTGGGGTTCCTTGCACTATTCCTTGTCTGAAATCAAATTTTATTCAAACCACTTGATAGAAGATTTGGAGTTCGGGTATGATCAGTAAAGTGAGCCAGCATACTTCTTTGAACATAGAATCACTACCTTTAAAAGAATAAATAAAAAGCACATGGCCATGCTACTAAAAACAAGAAAGGCAGCATTTAAGAGACAGATTCTAAGGTAGAGATGATTTTTTTCCCCCTAAAGATCTCAACAGACTCAAATCCAAATTCCTAAGCTCAAGATGATCTGGGATAAACCTCAAGTCCACACAGAGCCTAGATTTAACGGATGGCTGTTCTAAAGTATCCTATGCAATGTCTATACAAGTTCAAATACTTTCTGCTTCAGACAGTGAAACTGGCAGAAATGTTGCAAAGGATTGGAGATGCGTTACTATAAGCAGTTAAACTTGGAACTGTAAAGCCCACAAGGAATTACACTGAAGGGCAGAGCAGGAGTTCAAAAATGTCACCTGACAGATTCGAAGCAATTTAGGACTCCTAAATGCAATGTTTCATTGGTATCTACCCCCCACCTTCTCTATCCTTTATTTGTTCAACAAACATATACTGGATTCTGGGTTGTGGAAAGGAATGCAGGGAAGTAAAAAAGAAACAGGTTTCTAAGAATCAGTTTCTTGTTCTCCAATAATTTGGTCTAGTTAAAGCAAACAAACAACCCCAAAAATCAGATCAGCAAGCAAAGTTAAAACATATGCCTTAAGTACCATAACAAGAATATAAGAAAACTGTTTTAACATGTAGATTGGCAACCTCCTTTCAAGGGAACAATATATTTGCTTTGCTATGTGGCTAGAATAAGAAAAAGCAAACAACAACAAAACCCTCTCCTGTTTTAATGACAGTTTAGCAGTACCAAAGCTCATCGCTCGCATTCCCCCTCTCCCTCTCCTTCTCAAAGGTCTCTGCTGCAACCCCTCCATCATTCCAACCTCCACACTGCGCCGGCGCCCCACACCAGCTCCATCACAAACAATGCCCAGACCAACAAGATCAGCACCAAACGCATAGGGCACAGAAATCGGAAACGGATCTTCCTATATCTAAAGGGGGCGGGGAACGCTCCCCACGATCACCCCCTCCCCATACTGAGGTAGCTTGGGACTGTGTCTCTACGGTAAGGGGCCTGGCGTCCGCCGCTTTCGGAGGTTCTAGGCCTCTTTCCCCTATTTATCCAGTTTTTCCTCCTGCGTCCCTAATACCTCTACTTCCTCCCAACCCGAGCTCCCTATTGTGGAGTGAGGGGGCGTCGCGATGCAGGCTGAGGCAGGGGGAGCTGGGGAAACGCGCGACAGGGGAGATGCTGTCATTATGTACGTAGGGGGCGGGGGACACTCTTTAAGGAAGCCGTTGTCAAGGGCAAAGGCTCTAGAGACCCACGGGAGGGGGCTTTCTAGGTAATCCATTTGGGGGTTCTACACGAGGGAGCTATTGTGTGTGTGGAGGTGTGAGGTCTGTAGAGTAGCAGTTTCTGAGGGAAACATTCCCTGGGGAAGGCGAGTGAGTTATTCATAGGGAAGCCTCTGTGGGGTTCTGTGTAGAAGAATCCTTCCTGGGAGAAACGTTCTATGGGGGTGAGGACGTCATAACAGTGTCTTCACAGGGAATCGCTGTCCCTAGGGAAGCCATTGTGGGGAAACCGTTGCAGGGTTGTCTGTGGGGGAGCCATTGTGGGGAAACCGTTGCGGGGTTGTCCAAAGGGGAGCCATTGTGGGGCCTCTACAGAGGGCGCCGTTCCTGGGAAAAATTCCTCCCTGAGCCGTTCAGCAAAGAACCGTCCCGAGGAAGCCATGTCGGACCACGCCCTGCGGCGGGAGGCGTCGCCGGACCCCGACAGCCCGCATCCCCCGCCCGGCCGCCCCTCGGCTGCCTCTGCCCCGCGTACCTGACGGAGGGTGACCCGCGGCTGGAGCCGCCAGGGGACCGAGCGCGGGGCAGCCCCTGCCGGCGCGGGGGGTACACGTCCATGGCGGCGGACGACTGGCGGCGGAGGAGGACGGTGCAGCTGCGAGGGTCTCAGTTGCCCGCAGGGCGGCTCCACGCTAGCTGCGGCCGGGCGGGGCGGCAGGGCGTGCCGGGTGGGAGGGGGCGCGGCGCGCGGGCCCGGCGGGGGCGGGGGCGGGGGCGTGGAGGGGGCGCGCGCACCGAGAGCGGATGGGGGCGTTGGGAGCGGCTGGAGTTGGGGGTCGGCGCACGGCCACAGGGACCCCACTTCTTAAGCTGCGAGGCCGCCGGACCGGATGTTGGGAGCGCGTGTCCGCAGGGTGAGGGTTGCCACAGCGCCGCCCGGCCTCGTCCTCAAGCCCGGCATCATAGAGCGGGGCTCTGCGCGGCGCCCCCCGGCCACGCACACGGACGCGCCCGGGGGCGGAGCCTCTCCCAGCCCGGCCCCGCCCCTCCGCCTCTGCCCGCCCCGCCCCGCCCGACCAGCCCCGGCCTCCAGCGAAGTCTTCCGCTCCGGCGTCAGGATCCAGCGCACCTCCCCAGTACCCAGCGCACCTCCCCAGTACCCGGCTCGCTTCCCTGTTCTCCGGAACGGTGTCTTCCCGCTTCCTGGTCATCAATTCCGCACCCACCCTTCAAACATCCAATAGATTCCTAGCCGGCCTCGGGTTAGCGCAGCAGTGCGCACCCAGCCCTGCGCAGGGCATGAGCGTTAGAGGCGCACAGGATCCCAGAAGACCCCTAACCTTTACTGTTAAGATCCTAGCTCTACCGGTTTCTGCAGGGACATGTACAAGAAACTTGGGAAATACTGCACTGATAGTTGCCAGGAGTCCTGTATATACAGGACGTATTTAATGATTATTGGCCTGCGTCCTTCGTTGACCTCGTCGGAATGCCTTAAATGTCCTGTATTCATCTTTTTACACTAAATTGCAATAATTAGAGCTATTTTTCTCCCACAGTAATTGGTGCTAGATCACTTAAATTACAACACTGGCTGAAAATCCTTCCTACACTAATGAAGATTTGGACAATCCCTATGGTGTCTCCTTCAGGTTTGGCTGAGGGAAGACCAGAAGGGAGTAGGAATTTAAAGTGCTCGTCTTTCATATTCAAGAAAGGAAAATACTTTTTTAGCTCAAGTCCGGAGTCGTGAACAAATAACCACCATTATTTAGAGATAACTTCTCGTCGGTGCAGCAGCTCTGAAAATCAGCCAATCAGCGATAGCCTCACTCCGGTAACTATGCTTCTTAGTAAATCAATGACAACCCCACGCTTCTGAAAGTCAGCCAATCAGTGACCGCTCTAAGCCTCCGACAATAGCCAATCAACAAGTGCCTGACACCAGCGACCAGGCTTCCGAAAGTCAGTGGGTACTCAGCTGCCGCACTCCACTTCTGATTCGGAAAGACAGCCAATCCCTGAAGGCGAATATTTCCAAAACCATTTTTTTTTCTTTCCCAGACTGAGTCTCATTCTGTCGCCCAGGCTGGAGTGCAGTGGCGCGATCTCGGCTCACTGCAACCTCTGCCTCCCGGTTCAAGCGATTCTCCTACCTCAGCCTACCGAGTAGCTGGGATTACAGGCTCCCGCCACCACGCCTGGCTCATTTTTGTATTTTTAGTAGAGACGGGTTTTGCCATGTTGGCCAGACTGGTCTCAAACTCCTGACCTCAGTTGATCCGCCTGCCTTGGCCTCCCAAAGTGCTGGGATTACAGGCCTGAGCCATCGCGCCCGGCCTTTTTTTTCTTTTTCTCCTTTTTTTTTGGAGACAGAGTCGCACTCTGTTGCTCAGGCTGGAGTGCAGTGGCGTGATCTCAGATCACTGCAACCTCTGCCTCCTGGTTCAAGCGATTCTTGTGCCTCAGCTTCCCAAGTAGCTGGGATTACAGGCCTGTGCCACCAAGCCTGGCTAATTTTTTGTATTTTTAGTAGAGACAGAGTTTCGCCATGTTGGCCAGGCTGGTCTTGAACTCCTGGCCTCAAGTGAATCGCCAGCCTTGGCCTCCCAAAGTGCTGGTATTACAGGCGTGAGCCGCGCCCGGCCTTCAAAACCTTTTATAAGATCAGCTCTGGCTTTGTTCAGAGAGGCTGTACCTTACAAGTACCGCTCTCCCTTGCAAGCAGAGAAGAAATTCACTTTTTTTTTGCATCAGATATTGAGTTCAATTTATTGTTTTGTCCGAGTTCAAAGTTCACAGCTCAAGATTCAATTCCCAGTTACTATTTGGTATGAGTTTGGACTTATGACAGACGCTATGACACCGTCATGAGATTTATCAAATACAACTCTTTCAATTCTTTCTATGCTTGCAGTGATCAATTTTTTAGCTCAAGTCCAGAGTCATGAACAAGTAACCACCATTATTTAGAGATAACTTCCCATCGGTGCAAAAGCTCTGAAAATCAGCTCTAAAAACAATTCAACGGGGCTACACGTGGTGGTGCACGCCTGCAGTCCCAGCAATTTGGGAGACTAAGACAAGTGGATTTCTTGAGCCCAAGAGTTTGAGACCAGCCTGGGCAACGTGGCAAAACCTCATCTCTCTGTCTCTCTCTCTCTATATATATATAGTTTATTTATAAAAATATATATTTATATTATAATTTATGTATACAAATATATTTCATATATGCACACACACACAAATTGGCCAGGCATAGTGGCATGTGTCTGTAGTCGCAGCTATTCAGGAGACTGAGATGGGAGGATCGCTTGAGCCTGGGAGGTCTAGGATGCAGTGAGTTAAGATCAGGCCACTGCACTCCAGCATGGGGGACTGAGTGAGACCCTGTCTCAAAAAAAAAAAAAAAAATCAATGAGTATAGGCACAGATTTGTGCAACCACCACCACAATCAATTTTAGAACATTTTTATCACTCCAACAGGAAAATCCTGTACCTATTAGCAGTCATTCCTCCATTTCTTCCCAACCACCCCAGCCCTAGGCAACCACTAACCTTTTAATTTGCCTATTCTGGACATTTCATGTTATCAGCATCATTCAATATATGGTTTTTCATGACTGGCTTCTTCCATTTAGCATAATGTTTATAAGGTTCATCCATGTTGCAGCATGTATCAGAATTTTGTTCCTTTTCATGGTTGAATATTATTACATTGAATGGATATACCACATCTTGCTTATCCATTTATCTGTTAATGAACAGTCAGATTGTTTCCACTGTTTTGCTATGTTTTGTAGCTAATGCTATTATTAACATTTGTGTACAAGTTTTTTTGTGGACACACAGTTTGTTTCCTTGGCGATCTAGGAGTGGGTTTCTGGATCACATGGTAACTCTACGTTTAACCTTTTGAGGAACTGCCAAACGGTTTTCCAAAGTGGCTGCACCATTTATATTCTCACCAGCATCATATGTGGGTTCTAATTTTTCCATATCTTCCCTAATACTCATTATCTTTTTCACTATAGCCATTTTAGAGGGTATGAAGTGGTATCTCATTGTGGTTTTGGCTTATATTTCCTGATAGCTAATGATGTCAAGCATCTCTTCATGTGCTTATTAGCCATTTGGACCTCCTCCTTTTTTTTTTTTTTTTTTTTTTTTTGAGACGGAGTTTCACTCTTGTTGCCCAGGCTGGAGTGCAATGGCATGATCTCAGCTCAACGCAACCTCTGCCTCCCGGGTTCAAGCGATTCTCCTGCCTCAGCCTCCCGAGTAGCTGGGATTACAGGCATGCGCCACCGCGCCCAGCTAATTTTGTATTTTTAGTAGAGACGGGGTTTCTCCATGTTGGTCAGGCTGATCTCAAACTCCCGACCTCAGGTGATCTGCCCACCTCAGCCTCACAAAGTGCTGGGATTACAGGCATGAGCCGCCGTGCCTGGCCTATACCTCTTCTTTGGAGGAATGTCTGCTCGAATTTTTTGACCATTTTTACTTGGTTACTTGTCCTTTTATTATGTTGTGGTAGCTCTTTATATAGTCTAGATATAAGTACCTTATCAGAAATACAATTTGCAAAAATTTTATCCCATTCTGTGGGTTGTCTTTTCACATTCTTGATATTGTTGTTTGAAACACAAAACTTTAAAATTTTAATGATATCCAGTTTATCAATTTTTTTCTTTTGTTGCTTGTGCTCTATGTGTCATAACTAGGAAACTATTGCCTAATCCAAAGTCATGAAGACGTACCTCTTACATTTTCTTCTAAGAGTTTAATAATTTTGGCTCTTACATTTTAGATCTTTGATTAATTCCAAATTAATTTTTCTATATGATGTGAGGCAGGGATCCAACTTGATTCTTTTCCATGTGGCTATTCACTTGTCTCAGCACCATTTGTTGAACAGACTATTTTTTTCCCCATTGAATTGTCTTGGTACCCTTGTTGAAAATCGATTGTGTTATCTATTTCTTTATTTGTGTATATGTGAATCCACAAATGCCAAATTGCAAGAGTGAATTTTATGACAAATTTTCTGAAGAGTGTACATTTATTAAAGGAGAGAAAATCCATTTGCAGCTCTTTATGTGGTATGCAAGTATTTATTCAATATTGAAAATGGTGGAAAGACAGATATACATCAGCACATACTAACGGCTAAGCATAAAAGATGTGTGATTTTTGTACCAAAGGAATGGATAAAATGACAAATTTTAAAGATAAATTCAGATTGAGAAGATAATCACAGCAAAGTTGTAATGGCCTCCCATACTGTCTGTTGTCATCATTCAGCTCAAGTCACTCTTTGAACATACCGCTACCAGTAGTATTTTCTAATGCCAATATTTCAAGCAAATTTTCAAATGCCAGGACAAAATCTACTGCAATAATTTGAGATGTAACGACTCCACTTACTACTGTTGCAGTGATTATCAAAGCTGTAAATGCCTTGCTGTTTTATAGCATAACCATGGATGTGAGTAATCACAGTGAAGAAAAGCTTTTCCTTTGCCTGTGCAACAGTTTCCTTGTGAAAAAGGCTTGCTTATGGGGCTATTTTGTGTAAAATCCCTTCCAGATGAGATTTCAGAAATGAACAAATTGTTGCAGAGATTCTCCTAATGAATTAGGAGTTATTAAAAACTGTACAGTTTTTGATGGAAAAATACAAATAAAATATTGGTAGATGCTCGCACTATGTTTATTCAAAACTAAAGTAAAGCTTGACTGATGCTATGGAAGCTATTGACTGTCCTGCTCATATTCTGTGTAATGCTGCTCAAACAGCATATGATGTCTTTTCCATTGCCTTTGAAGCAACTGTCCTGAAATTATTCTTATGTCAGCGTTTATAATATTTGAACTGAACAATTAAGATATTTTTGTGATTTTGTTGGCATTTAGTATTCCTCAATTCTCTTGCATTCAAAAAACCTGTTAGCTCTTTTTTTTTTTTTTGAGATGGACTTTCGCTCTCATTGCCCAGGCAGGAGTGCAATGGCACAATCTCAGCTCACTACAACCTCCGCCTCTTGGGTTCAAGTCATTCTCCTGCCTCAGCCTCCTGAGTTGCTGAGATTACAGGCATGCAGCACCACGCCTGGCTAATTTTGTATTTTTAGTAGACATGGGGTTTCATTATGTTGGTTAGGCTGGTCTTGAACTCCTGACCTCAGGTGATCCACCTGCCTTGGCCTCCCAACGTGCTGGGATTATAGGCGTGAGCCACCGCGCCCAGCCAGCATTCTTTAACATATGGATTTGAGAGACTCCTCAGTTTATTTGAAGTACTGAAAACATATTTTAATTTTAAAGGAAAAGCTCTCGGGCTAGGCACAGTGGCACGCCTGTAATACCAGCTACTGGGGAGGCCACAGTGGGAGGATCCCTTGAGGCAGGAGTTCCAGACTAGTCTGGGTAACATAGTGAGACTCTATCTCTATTTTAAAAATTTAAAAATTAACCGGGCATAGTGGCACATGCCTGTTGTCCCGGCTACTCAGGAGGCTGGGGTGGGGAGAGAGCCTGAGCCCAGGAGTTCAAGGTTGCAGTGAGTTATGACCTATGCACTCTAGCCTGGGTAACAGAGCAAGACCTCATCTCTCTTTGTAAAAAAAAAAAAAAAAAAAAAAAAAAAAAAAAAACAGAAAGAAAAAAAGAAAAGGTCCCCAAATTTCTTACTGACTTTTAAAGTAATCCATTGAGGGAAACCTTTTCAGCAATAGGATTATGCCAAAGAAAAAACAGCAAACAGCGGTATTGAAATACTCCATTGCTTAAGAGAACTCTTGAATGCATTAAATGAATAATTGATGAAGAAAAATGTAACCCTTTAAGTGTCAAGGCTGTTCTTAAAAGGGACAACATTACTTACGAACAAGAAAAAGTCTGACTTGAAGTGAATAATTATTACAGCACTTGTCATGATTACCTTTTGAAATGGATTTCATCCCGTGAAGAATTTTATTCTTTTTTTTTTTTTTTTTGACAGAGACTCACTGCTGCCCAGGCTGGAGTACGGTGGCATGATCTCAGCTCCTTGCAACCTCCACCTCCTGGGTTCAAGCAATTCTTGTGCCTCAGCTTCCCGACATAGCTGAGATTACAGGCGTGCTTTATCATGCCTGGCTAAGTTTTTGTAATTTTAGTAGAGACAGGGTTTCACCATGTTGGCCAGGCTGATCTCGAACTCCTGGCCTCAAGCAATCCACCTGCCTTGGCCTCAAAGTGCTAGGATTACAGGCATGAGCCACCGTGCCTGGTCAAGAATTTTATTCTTTTATATGGATATTAATGAATACTCTTCTAGCATGGGAACAAGTGGAATCCTCATATTTAGTGTTGAAGAAGAAAGGAATAAAAAATGATGATAATGCTCTTTTTTGTTGGGGGGGGCAGCATTTTTAAGTTATTGATCAAGAGATGAAACAATCCTGAAGAATAGAAAATCAAGTTGTGCCATGAAAGTTGGTATTTGCTTTAATGAACCAAATCTGAAGAGCAATTTTCAGGGTTGTTAACTTTATCCTAGAATATGTTCTGTGTATTAGTCCATTCTTGCACTGTTATAAAAAATACCTTGGACTGGGTATTTTGTATTTTCTGTATTTTATGGACCTGCTACTTCAGGAAAGACTGGGTAATTTATAAAGAAAAGAGGCTTAATTGGCTCATGGTTCTGCAGGCTGTACAGGAATGACTAGGTAATTTATAAAGAAAAGAGTCTTAATTGGCTCATGGTTCTGCAGGCTGTACAGGAAGCATAGTGGCTTCTGCTTCTGTGGAGGCCTCAGGAAACTTACAATCATGGCAGAAGACAAAGGAGAAGCAGGCACATCTTACATGGCTGGAGGAGGAGCAAGAGAGAGAGGGGAAGGTGCTACATACTTTTAAACAACCAGATCTCATGAGCATTCACTATCACAAGTGTAGCACCAAGGGGAGGGTGCCAAACCATTCATGAGAAACCACGCCCACAATCCAATCACGTCCCACCAGGCCCCACCTCCAACACTGGGGATTACAATTTGACATGAGATTTGGTGGGGACACAGATCCAAACCACATCACTTTTCCCCGGCCCTCCAAATCTCATGTCCTTCTCACATTTCAAAATACAATCATCCCTTCCCAACAGTCCCCTAAAGTCTTAACTCATTCCATCATTAACTCAAAAGTTCACCATCAAAAGCCTCATCTGAGACAAGGCTAGTCCCTTCCACCTATGAGCCTGTAAAATCAAAAACAAGTTAGTTACTTCCAAGATACTGTGGGGGTACAGGCATTGGGTAAATAATCCCCTTCCAAAAGGGAGAAATTGGACAAAAGAAATGGGCCACAGTCCCCATGCAAGTCTGAAACCCAGAAGGGCAGTCATTAAATCTTAAAGCTCCAAAATAATCTCCTTTGACCCCATGTCCCACATCTAGGGCACACTGGTATGAGGGGTGGGCTCTCAAAGCCTTGGGCAGTGCCACCCCTGTGGCTTTGCAGGGTTTAGGCCCTGAGGCTTCTCTCATGGGCTTCTGTTGAGTGCCTCTGGCTTTTCCAGGTGCAAGGTGCAAGCTCTCAGTGGATCTACCATTCTACTGCCTAGTGGAGGTGGAGGACAGTGGCTTTCTTCTCACAGCTCCACTAGGCAGTGCTCCAGTGGGGACCCTGTGTGGGGACTCTGTGTGGGGGCTCCAACCCCACATTTCCCCTTCACACTGCCCTAGTAGAGGTTCTCCGTGAGGGCTCCACCCCTGCAGTATGCTTCTGCCTAGGCATCCAGGTTTTTCTATATAGCCTCTGAAATCTAGGCAGAGGTTCCCAAGCCTCAACTCTTACACTCTCTGCACCTGCAGGGCTAACACTACATAGAAGCCTTGGCTTATGGCTTATACCCTCTGAAGCAGCAGCCTGAGTTGTACCTGGGCCCCTTTTAGTTGTGGCTAAATCTGGAGTGACTGGGATGCAGGGAACAGTGTCCTAAGGCTGCACAGGGCAGTGGGGCCCTGGGCCTGGCCCCAAAAAAACATTCTTCCCTACTCGGCCTCTGGGCCTATAATGGGAGGGGCTGCCAAGAAGGTCTCTGAAATGCCTGTGAGGCCTCTTTCCCATTGTCTTGGATGTTAGCACTTGGCTTCTTTCAATTTTCCTGCCTCAGCCTTCTGAGTGGCTGGGACTACAGGTGCCTACCACCATGCCCAGCTAATTTTGGTATTTTTAGTATAGACAGGGTTTTGCCATGTTGGCCAGGTTGGTCTTGAACTCCTGACCTCAAGTCATCTACCCACCTTGGCCTCCCACAGTGCTAGGATTACAGGCATGAGCCACCACAACCCGCCTGGCTTCTGTTTTCTTATGCAAATTTATGCAGCCTGCTTGAATTCCTCCCCTGAAAATGGGCTTTTATTTCCTACCACATGGCCAGGCTGCACATTTTCCAAACTTTTATGTTCTGTTTCCCTCTTAAATATAAGCTCAAGTTTCAAGTCATTTCTTTGCTCACACATGTGAGCATAGGTTGTTAGAAGCAGCTGGGTCACATTTTGGAGGCTTTACTGCTTAGAAATTTCTTCTATCAGATGCACTAAATCATCATTTTCAAGTTCAAAGTTCCACAGATCCCTAGGGCAGAGGCACAATGCATCCAACCTCTTTGCTAACACATAATAAAAGTGATCTTTGCTCCAGTTCCCAATAAATTCGTCATCTCCATCTGAGACCTCTTCAGCCTGGACTTCACTGTCTGTATCACTATAAGCATTTTGGTCACAACAATTTCGCAAGTCTTTAGCAAGTTCCAAACTTTCCTTCATCTTCCTATCTTCTTCTGAGCCCTTCACATTCTTCCAACCTCTGTTGATTACCCAATTCCAAAGCTGCTTCCACATTTTCAAGTATCTTTATAGCAATGACCCAGTCCTTGGTAACAATTTTCTGAATGTTTCTTCTCACATCGCTATAAAGAAATACCTGAGACTGGGTAATTTATTTTAAAAAGAGGTTTAATTGGCTCACAGTTCTGCAGGCTATACAGGAAGCATGGTGGCTTCTGTTTCTGCGGAGGCCTCAGGAGACTTATAATCATGGCAGAAGGTGAAGGAGAAGCAGGCACATCTTACATGGCTAGAGCAGGAGCAAGAGAGAAAGAGGGGAGGTGTTACACATTTTTAAACAACTAAGTCTTGAGAGCACACACTCACTATCATGAGTACAGCACCAAGGAGAAGGTGTTAAACCACCACTACGATCCAATCACCTCCCACCAGGCTCCATCTCCAACACTGGGGATTACAGTTTGACATGAGATTTGGTGGGGACACAGATCCAAACCATATCATTCAGTATGCAGCCTCATATTGCTAATGTTGAGCATGTTATCTAACTAATGAATGTGCAATGGACAACTGAAATAAGTTAGATATGACCATTGTTGAAGCTATGTTACAATGAAAATAACTATAGATTATATCTACAAGGAATTTTATAGGCAAATTTCAAAAACAAGAATCCTTAATTACAGTGGTCAAAAATATAATTAGAGAAATATATAACTCAGATACTTATAATTTGTTTTGTATAAGCAAATAAATACTTTTAGTGAATGTCCCATGCAATAATTTTTATATCAACATACATATGCATAGGCAATTAGGTGTAATTCTAATTTAACTGAGTCCTTGTATTTTTATTTGTTAAATCTGGTAACCCTAGTCATGGATGATCTGAGATATTGCATGTAATCGTTAACAATGATCTTTTAAAAATAATCTGTGACAGGCCAGGCACAGTGGCTCATGCCTATAATCCTAGCACTTTGGGAGGCTGAGGCAGGCGGACCACAAGGTCAGGATTTCGAGACCAGCCTGGCCAGCATGGTAAAACCCCATCTCTACTAAAAATACAAAAATTAGCTGGGCATGGTAGCACGTGCCTGTAGTCCCAGCTACTCAGGAGGCTGAGACAGGAGAATTGCTTGAACCCAGGAGGCAAAGGTTGCAGTGAGCTGAGATCGTGCCACTGCACGCCAGCCTGGGCCACAGAGCCAGACCCTGTCTAAAAAAAAAAAATCTGTAACAATCTTTTTTTTACAGAGGTATAATATATTTATAATAAAATGTATATTTCATTTGACAATATTTGACAAATGTATGCAATTGTGAAACTATTACCACTCCCTCCCCAAATCAGTGTCATTCCATGACCACAGAAAATTCTGGGAGACTCTCAATGAAAAGTAATAACAAAATAACAACATACACACACACACACACACACACACACACACACAAGTCGAGACCCTTTTGCAGTCAAATCCCTCACCTAACCCTAGGCAACCACTGATTTCATTTTTTTGTTTGTTTGTTTTGAGACAGGATCTTGCTCTGTTGCCCAGGCTGGAGTACAGTGGCACAATCACAGCTCACTATAACCTCAAACTCTCAGGCTCAAGGGATCCTCTTGCCTCAGCCTCCCAAGTAGCTGGGACCACAGGTGAGTGCCACCATGCCTGGCAAATTTCTTGAAAATTTTTTGTAGAGATGGGGTCTCATTGTGTTGCCCAGGCTGGCCTTGAACTCCTAGGCTCAAATGATCCTACCACCTCAGCCTCCCAAAGTGCTGGGATTATGGGCATGAGCCTTCACACCCAGCCCTTGATTTTATTTTAACGTCCGTAGATTAGTTTTGTCTGCTCTTGAAATTTGTATAAATGGAATCAGCATATTGATTTTTGAGATTCATTCATTATGCTATATGTATCAATAATTTGTTCACTTTTATTGATGATGAGTAGTATTTTATAGCTCAAACATAACACAATTTGTCGATCCACTTACTAGGTGATGAACATTTGACTTGTTTCCAGTTTGAGGATATTATATATAAACTCTTATAAAACATGTATGTATAAGTCTTTGTGTGGCCATATGTTTTCACTCTTCTTGGGTAAATAGAAGAATTGCTAGGTTATATGGTACATGTATGTTTATCTTTACAAGATAACCGTCTAACAGTTTTTCAAAGTGGTTGTGCCCCATTTTACACTCCCGTCAGAAGTGTATGAGAATTCGGTCCTGGCGCAGTGGCTCACGCCTGTAATCCCAGCACTTTGGGAGGCCGAGGCAGGTGGATCATTGAGGTCAGGAGTTCAAGACTAGCCTAGGCAACATGGTGAAACCCCATCTCTACTAAAAATACAAAAATTAGCTGGGTGGTAGTGGCATGCACCTGTAATCCAAGCTACTTGGGAGGCTGAGGCAGGAGAATCACTTGAGCCTGGGAGGCAGAGATTGCAGTGAGCCGAGATCGCACCACTGCACTCCAGTTTGGGCCACAGAGTGAGAACCTATCTCAAAAAAAAAAAAAAAAAAAAAAAAAGAGGTGTATGAGAATTCCAGTTGTTTCACAACCCTATCAACTCTTGGTAGTGTCAGTCTTTAACTTTCGTCATTCTCCTGCATATGCAGTTGTGTCCCATTGTGATTTTAATTTGCATTTCCCTAATAACTAATGATGTTGGGCATCTTGTCATATTCTTATTTACCATCTGAATATCTTCTGTTATAAAATATTTTTAAAGTGCTCTGCACATTTAGAAAATGGGTTGTTTGTGTTTTATTACTGAGTTAAAGGAGTTCTTTATTTTAGAGTATTTTATTTCGGAGTCCTTTCCTGGATATATGCATTGGGAATGTTTTCTCTCATTGGTTGCATTTACATTTTCTTTTGTGTTTTTTTTTTTTGAGACAGAGTTTTGCTCTTGTTGCTCAGGCCGGAGTGCAATGGCACGATCTCGGCTTACTGCAACCTCTACCTCCTGGGTTCAAGTGATTCTCCTGCCTCAGCCTCCCAAGTAGCTGGGACTATAGGCATGCACTACCATGCCCAGCTAATTTTTTGTATTTTTAGTAGAGACGGGGTTTCATCATGTTGGCCATACTGGTCTTAAACTCCTGACCTCAGTTGATCTGCCCACCTTGGCCTCCCAAAGTGCTGGGATTACAGGCGTGAGCCACTACATTTTCTTAAAGGTGTCTTTTGTGCAGTAGAAGATTTTAATTTTCATGAATTCTAATGTATTATTATTTTTTCATTTATTTTAGAGGAGAATGTGCTGGCTCTGATGTTCAGTGACAAGGGAACAGAGAGAGGTAGGAAGGCCTGAACCAGCCAAGAGACTTTACCTGAGGTAAAAATTCCTCTTCCTTCAATGCCTCAAATCAGGATCTTGAAGTTGGAAAATAATAAAAGCTTGTACAGATTCCACTTTGATTGTTTTTGGCAAGGCTATTTCATAACTACCTGTGGTGATCTAGAGGGTTTCTCAGAAGAAATGACATTTGTGGAGGGAGTCCGGAAGCTGAGTGATAATGAAAGCTATAATTCAAAACCACACTAAGCACTCTTCATGTCATCCTCTGTGGTAGCCAGCCAAGATGGCCCCCAGTGATCCTCAAGTCCTGTGTTCATGCCTTTGTATAGCCTCCCTCAATACTGAATCATGCCTGGCCTGTGACCAATAGAGTATGGCACACATTGTGACTTCCAAGGCTTGGTCATGAAAGACATATGCAACTTCCTTTTGCTTTCTCTTGCATAATCTGTTCTAGACAAAGCAGCTGCCGTTTTATGAGGACACTCAAGCAGCTCTATGGAGAGGCCCACGTGGTGAGAAACTGAGGCCTCCTGCCAAAAACCAGCATCAACTTGTCAGTCATGTGACTGAACCATCCTGGAAGCAGATCTTCCCACTCCAGTGAACCCTGCAGTTGATCACAGCCCCAGTGGATACTTTGGCTGCAGAGAGACCATGATCTAGAACCAATTAGCTAAGTTGCTCCTGAATTCCTGACTCACAGAAACTGTTTGATTAAGATAATAAATATCTTATGTTGTAACAAGTCACTAAATTTGAAGGTAATTTGCTATTCAGCAATAGATAATTAATACAACAGTTCTATAAGGTAAGAATGAGGTATTATCTCCACTATACAAATAAGGAAACAGCCTCAGAAAGGTTAGGTGACTTGCCCAAATTAACTGTCAGAGAAGATTTTTTTCCCTTGACAAATAATTTACATTTTATGGCAATTTCCATGGAGAGGCTAGGTGCAGTGGCTCAATCCTGTAGTCTCAGCACTTTGGGAGGCTGAGGCGGGAGGACTGCTTGAAGCTAGTAGTTCAAGACCAGCTGAGGCCACATAGTAAGACCCCTGTTTCTACAAAAAATTAAAAAAAAATTTTTTTTTTTGAGACAGAATTTCGCTCTTGTTGCCCAGGCTGGAGTGCAATGGCGTGATCTCGGCTCACTGCAACCTCTGCCTCCTGGGTTCAAGCGATTCTCCTGCCTCAGCCTCCTGAGTAGCTGGGATTACAGGCACCTGCCACCACGCCCGGCTAACTTTTGTATTTTTAGTAGAGACAGGGTTTCACCATGTTGGCCAGGCTGGTCTTGAACTCCTGACCTCAGCTGATCTGCCCACCTTGGCCTCCCAAAGTGCTGGGATTACAGGCGTGAGCCACTGCACCTGGCCAAAAAATTTTTTTAATTTGAAATTTATATTTTAAATTTAAATTGCTCACACCTGCAATCTCAGCACTTTTGGAGGCTGAGGCAGGTAGATCGCTTGAGTTCAGTAGCTCAAGACCAGCCTGGGAAACGTGACAAAGCTCCATCTCTGCAACAAATACAAAAGAATTAGCCAGGCATGGTGGTGTGCGCCTGTAGACCCAGCTAATTGGGACGCTGAGGTGGGAGGATCGCTTTAGCCTGGGAGACAGAGACTGTGGTGAGCCAAGATCGCGCCACTGCACTCCAGCCTGGGCGACAGAGCAAGGCCCTGCTGTCTCAAAATATTAAATAAATAAATACATTTATTTCCATGGAGAAACAATAAAGAGAAACATCAAAACTCAGATGGCAAACCTCCTCAGCCCTTCCTGAACCTTTTTCCTCCCCAGCATTCCAACATTTCTCTCAAAAACTCTCAAGCCTGCCCAGCTTTACCTCTAGCCTCCCTCTTGCATTTCCCACTCAGCAAAGCAAAAAGGTGGCTGCATTCGAACTGAGTTTCGATTCCAGCTCTAACTTCAATGTCCATGTTCCTAACCACTCTGGTTCCCAGAAGGGTTTCTCTAGGAAGAAAAATAAGGGAAGGGCATTAGACGTAGAGAAAACAACAAATGCAAAGAAGCGAGGGTTTGACAGAATCTGGCTGCCTCTGAGGGAGTGGAGGGACAATGGTTCAGCGGGGCTAGAGAGCAAACTTCCTGGGAAAGGAGGTGGCAGGGTGAAGCAGGAAAGGAGTTCGTAGCCAGTGTGTAGAAACCCATAGGCCATGTCAACAATTTTGAATTTCTCTACAACAAAAAATTTTAGGCAGGGGAGAAAGTTGCTTGTGTCTGAATTTCCAAAAGACTCTTTAGGGAAAGAAATCATTGTATTAAAAAGAGACTTGCACTGGAATATTTATTGCAGCACTGTTCACAATAATCACAAAGACAGGGGATCAACCTAAGTGTTTGTCAAAGGAGAATTGGATAAAATGTAGTATGTGCATATACCATGGAATACTGTAATACTTAGCCATAGAAAAGAATGAAGTCATATCTTTTGCAGCAACATGGATGGAACTGGAGGCCATGATCCTAAGTGAAATAACTCAGGAACAGAAAGTCAAATGCCACATGTTCTCACTTATTAGTGGGAGCTAAATAATGTGTACATATAGACACACAGAGTGGGATAATAGACATTGGAGACTACAAAAGGTGAGAGGGTGGGAGAAGGGTGAGGATTGAAAAATTACCTATTGGGTACAATATTCACTATTCAGATGATGTGTACACTAACAGCCGAGACTTCACTGCTAAGCAATATATGCACGCAATAAAGCTGCACTTGTACTCCATGTATATATAATAGATAGTAAAATGTATTATATATTAAAAATGTATAATATATTAAACATATATAATATATTGTATATGTTATATATAACATATGTCATATATTATACAACATGTTAATCACATTAACATATAGTTATATATTATAATATATATTATCTAATATATTTTAATATATAATCTATAATATATTTTTATATAATTTGTTTTCCTAAATATATTTCACATATATTTTATATAATTATGTATTAATATATAATATATATTTATTATTATATATAAATATGTGTTTATATATATTACATATATATTTTTAAGACCATTCGGTAGCTTAGCAGACACTGTTAGTGCTCCTTGGCACTTACCATTTCCTTGCACGCTGGGTCAGGAGGCTAGAAGAGCTGGGGAATTAATGCCTGCTAGGAGCTGAGCTCTCAGTCAATGACTGAAGGAAGTTGCGTAAATACCCCAGCTTCTCACTTGTCAGGTAGGATAACTCTGGGACACACATTCTGTAGCTATTCTAAGGGTTTCCCAGCAGGATTAAGCTCCAGTTGCCCATTTGCTTGATAATGTGCAATCGACTGCTCTCCCTTCCTTGAATCTCTTCCCCACTCTGCTGCTCGTTTTCCTAGGATTACCTCCCACATAAGGTACTTGCACTCAAATCCTTACCTTAGGTCCACTACTGAGCAGCAGGAGGAGAGGGACTATGAACTAAAACAGACAGAATAAGAAGTAATATATACCATGATTATTAGAATGCTCATTACAACATTGATTCTTTCCATGTTACCCTGTGAATTAAATGCAATTTCTAACAAAATCCCAACAGAATATTTTAAAAGGAACTTTAAAAACTGATCCCTGGCAGGGTGCAGTGGCTCACGCCTGTAATCCCAGTACTTTGGGAGGCCGAGGTGGGCTGATCACCTGAGGTCGGGAGTTTGAGACCAGCCTGACCAACATGGAGAAACCCCGTCTCTTCCAAAAATACAAAATTAGCCGGGCATGTTGGCGCGTGCCTGTAATCCCAGTTACTTGGGAGGCTGAAGCAGGAGAATCGCTTCAACCCCAAAGGCAGAGGTTGCAGTGAGCCGAGATTGTGCCATTGCACTCCAGCCTGGGAGACGGAGCGAAACTCCATCTAAAAAAAAAAAAAAGAAAGAAAGAAAGAAAAAAACCCCCCGCTCCCTAAGGTCATTCATAGGAAAGTTCTTTGCGGAAAAGATGAACAAGGAGAGAGAACTTGCCCTACCAGATAGCAGGATTTACTATAAAGCTATTAGCCATTAAGATTTACTACAGGCCGGGTGCGGTAGCTCACGCCTGTAATCCCAGCACTTTGTGGAGGCGGGTGCATCACCTGAGGTCAGGAGTTCAAGACCAGGCTGGCCAACCTGGTGAAACCCCGTCTCTACTAAAAATAAAAAAAATAGCTGGGCATGGTGGCGGGTGCCTGTAATCCCACCTACTCAGGAGGCTGAGGCAGGAGAATCACTTGAACCCAGGAGGTGGAGGTTACAGTGAGCTGAGATCACGCCACTGCACTCCAGCCTGGGCAACAGAGTGAGACTTTGTCTCAAAAAAATAAAAATAAAAAAGAGATACCATTATACCCATTAATTTGAGAAAAGAATTTTAAGTTTGATATTATTTAATGTTACCAGGAGACCAGCTTGGCCAACATGGTTAAACCCTGTCCCTACTAAAAATATAAAATTAGCTGGGCGTGGTGGCGGGCACCTGTAATCCCAGCTACCTGGGAGGCTGAGGCAGGAGAATCGCTTGAACCTGGGAGGCAGAGTTTGCGGTGAGCCATTGCACTCCAGCCTGGGCGACAAGAGCGAAACTCAGTCTCAAAGAAAAGGTCAAATATACAGAGACAGAGAATAAAAGCGGCTACCAGGGGTAGGGTGATGAGGAAGAGATTGAGAGAGATGTCAAAGGATCCAGAGTAGCAAATATGTAAATTGAACAAATTTCAAGATCCAATGTGTGATTCCATAAGGAATATAGTTTTTTGGTTTTGGGGGTTTTTTTGAGACAGAGTCTCACTCTGTCACCCAGGCTGGACTGCAATGAAGCAATCTCAGCATTTCAACCTCTGCCTCCAGGGTTCAAGGAATCCTCCTGCTTCAGCCTCCCAAGTAGCTGGGACCACAGGTGTGTACCATTATGCCCAGCTAATTTTTGTATTTTTACTAGAGACAGGGTTTCACCATGTTGCCCAGGCTGGTCTTGAACTTCTGGGCTCAAGCGAGTCTCCGCCCTTGGCCTCCCAAAGTGCTAGGTTTACAGGCATGAGCATTTGCGCCTAGCTGAGGACGACAATTAGTAATTTATTTTATCAGGATTTTTGCTAAATGTGCAGAGTATAGTTGCTCTTGCCACTGTGGGAAAAATGGGTAACTATGTGAGATGATGGCTACGTTAATTGGTTTCACTATGATAAATATTTTACTATCTATATATACATGTATCTCATAACATTACGCTGTACATCTTAAATATTCACAATAAAATTCATTAAAAAAAGAATTAGGATAGGCAATTCACAGATGAAGAAACTCAACGTATGTAAATATGCTCAATATCATTAACAATGAGGGAAAAGACAAGTTAAAAACAATGAGATGCCGGCCAGGCACGGTGGCTCATGCCTGTAATCCCAGCACTTTGGGAGGCTGAGGCCAGTGGATCACGAGGTCAGGAGTTCGGGACCAGCCTGACCAACATGGTGAAACCCTGTCTCTACTAAAAATACAAAATTAGTTGAGTGTGGTGGCAGATGCCTGTAATCCCAGCTACTCGGGAGGCTGAGGCAGGAGAATCGCTTGAATCTGGGAGGCAGAGGTTGCAGTGAGCCGTGATTGCGCCACTGCACTCCAGCCTGGGCGACAGAGCAAGACTGTCTGAAAAAAATTAAAAAAAAAAGAGATACCATTATATCCATTAATTTGAGAAAAGAATTTTAAGCTTGAGATATTATTTAATATTGCCAGGATATGGAATGGGAACTCTCATACACTTCTGTGGAAAGTATAAATTGGTATAACCGCTTTGGACAGCAATTTTATAATATGTGAAGTAGAAGATACATTGGCTGGATATGGTGGCTCATGCCCATAATCCTAGCATTTTGGGATGCTGAGGCAGGAGGATTGCTTGAGCCCAGAGTTAGAGAGCTGCTAGAGACTAGCAGCCTAGGAAACATAGCAAGACCCTGTCTCAAAAAAAAATTAAAAAGATACATATATGTCCCTAAAACCCAGAAATTCCACGTCCAAAGAAACTCTCAGCTGGGCATGGTGGCTCACGCCTGTAACCCCAGCACTTTGAGAGGCCAAGGCAGGCAGATTGCTTGAGGTCAGCAGTTCGAGACTAGCCTGGGTAACATCAGGAAATCTTATCTCTGCAAAAAAATACAAAATTAGCTTGGCGTGGTGACATGTGCCTGTGGTCCCAGGTGCTCAGGAGGATAGTTGGAGCCCAGGAGGTCGAGACTGCAGTGATCTGTGATTGTGCCACTGCACTCTAGCTTGGGCGACAGATTGAGATACTGTCTCAAAAAAAAAGAAGCTCTTGCATATGGAAACATGTGAAGTAAAACCAAAGATGTTTATCCATGTTCTTTGTAATAGTGAAACTGGTGGGGAGCGGGCGGGGCAGGGGGCAGGGATTTAATATCCATCAAGGGGGTCTCAAATGTGAAACATAAACCAAACATGGAAGAGTTATACAAGGTAATATTATACAATTAAAATGAATGAATATGGTTGAATCTTAGAAACACAGGGTTTAATGAGCTACAAAAGAATATTTATAATTTGACACCATTAATATAAATTAAAATAAACATAACCAAAACAATACTATGTACATAGCAAAGGTATAAAAACCATGAGTGGTTGTTCAGACTGGGAAGGTGAACTCAGTAAGTACATTTTCATCTGCAATTTTTTATTATTTAAATTTTATTTATTAATGTTTTTAAGAGACAGGGTCTTGCTCTGTTGCCCAGGCTGGAGTGCAGTGGTATAATCATAGCTCGCCGAAGCTGCAACCTCCCAGACTCAAACAATCCTCTCACCTCAGCCTTCCGAGCAGCTTGGACTACATGTGTGCACCACCACACCTGGCTAGTTTTTAAAATTTTTGTAGAGATGGAGTCTTGCTATGTTGTCCAGGCTGGTCTTGAACTCCTGGGCTCAAGCAGTCCTCCCATCTCAGCCTCCCAACATGTTGGGATTACAGACGTGAGCCACCATGTCTGGCCTCAATTTTTATTTCCTTAAAAACAGGTTTGATACAAATATGACAAAAATATCAACATTTGTTCATTTGGATGATTGGTACCCAGGTGTTTGTTATATTGGCCTTTTTTCTTATCAGCATATTTAAACTTTTTCAAATAAAGGAGTACTTCTAAATCACTACAAAAATATAAACACCCCCATCAAAAATGGCCAAATGATACAAAAAGCTAATTTGTTGCTAAAAAAGGGTCTTGATCCAGACCCCAAGAGAGGGTTCTTGGATCTCATGCGGGAAAGAATTCAGGGTGAGTTGTAGAGGACAGTGAGAAAAGACCATTTGTTAAAAGCTACTCTTACAGAATTGGGGGTTCTCAGGAAACAGGAGGAACGTGCTTACTTTTAACCTCTTCTTATATAGGAGTCTTGTCTATGTAAAAGGTAAACTAAATTATGGTTACGTGCAGGTGGGCTGACAGCATGACAAAATTTAGTACTTTGCTGATTTAAAGAAGGCTATCCTTGGCATTTTAGTGCATCACTTAAAAAAATATATTGTTATGTGATATTGGGACGTGTGTACATTCTGCCATTGCAGGAGTTTGTCCTTGCAAAAAAATACAAAATTAGCTTGGCATGGTGGCATGTGCCTGTGGTCCCAGATGCTCAGGAGGATAGTTGGAGCCCAGGAGGTCGAGGCTGCAGTGATTCGAGGCATTTTAAAGCTTTCTTTCTTTCTTTTTTTTTTTTTGAGACGGAGTCTCTCTCTGTCACCAGGTTGGAGTGCAGTGGTGCAATCTCAGCTCACTGCCACCTCTGCCTCCTGGGTTCAAGCAATTCTCCTGCCTCAGCCTCCTGAGTAGCTGGGACTACAGGCGCACGCCACCATGCCCAGCTAATTTTTGTATGTTTGGTAGAGACGGTGTTTTACTATGTTGGATAGGATGGTCTCGATCTATTGACCTCTTGATCCGCCCGCCTAGGCCTCACAAAGTGCTTGGATTACAGGCCTGAGCCACTGCGCCCTGCCCATTTTAAAGCGTTTTTAAGCTGTTTCCTCAACTGTAAACATCTTATGACCACCGGCCGGGCGCCCACCACCACACCCGGATAATTTTTGTATTTTTAATAGAGTTGGGGTTTTGCCATGTTAGCCAGGCTGGTCACGAGTAGCTGTGATTATGGGCGTGCGCCACAGTGTCTGGCTAATTTTTGTATTTTTAGTAGCGACGGAGTTTCATCATGTTGGCCAGGCTGATGTTGAACTCCTGACTTCAGGTGATCCACCCGCCTCAGCCTCCCAAAGTGCTGGGATTACAGCCGTACTTTGCTAGTTTTAAAATGGATTTGATTTTTAAACGGTGTCACCCTGGCTCCCCTATGCTCCTGTTTCCCTAATAAATTTATAGAGGAAGAAATACAGATGGCTCAGGAAGAGAGGAAAATACATACAACCTAACTAGACACCAGGAGAAGGAAAATGGAAACAGCAGTGAGCTGCCTTTTTGCTTATTAAGTTGACCCAACCAGGCCGGGCGTGGTGGCTCACGCCTCTAATCCCAGCATTTTGGCCAAGGCGGGTGGATCACCTGAAGTCAGGAGTTCAACACCAGCCTGGCCAACATGGTGAAACCCTGTCTCTACTAAAAATACCAAAAAAAAAAAATATATATATATATATATTAGCTGTGCATGGTGGCTCATGCCTGTAGTCCCAGCTACCTGGGAGGCTGAGGCAGGAGAATTGCTTGAAACCAGGAGGCGGAGATTGCAGTGAGCCGAGTTCTGCACTCCAGCCTGGGCAACAGAGTGAGACTCCACCGAAAACAAACAAACAAAATTGACCCAACCAAAAAAAATAATAATAACTAATGTGGAGAAATGAACACTGCTATCTACTAAATGGAGTATAAATGGGTACAATTTTGCGAAAGGGTGTTTTGGTAAAATATATGCAGCACATTCTTAAACTCACTTTCAATCTGTCTCAAATATTGGATTGGTTAGGATTACATTACTCTGAATAAGTTTTACCTTGTAAGAGTTAATTAACAGTAATTTGACGCAGGTAGAAGATTGTACCTTTCCATGTTGAAGGCGTGGTGACTGGGGTTCACAGTGACCTCAGAACCAGACCCCCTTTGAACTGTGGCCCTTTTGGCCTTCACTCTCCAGATCGCCTCACAGTTTCGTTCCTGCCCCAGCCATTACACCTGCATTCAAGCCGGCAGGATGAAGGAAAGGGAAAAGAAGGGGCAAAGAGTAACACCAGCTGTCTCTTAAGGAAGATTCCCGGAAGCTTCCATGTGATATGTCTGCCTTCATCTGGTGTCTAGAACCTAAATGTATGGCCCTGCTTAGTTAGAAGGGAGTCTGAGAAAGGTAGTTTTGATTCTGGACAGCTAAACTATCTTGTTTGTTTTTCTTCTGGGTACAAGAAGGAGAGAAATGACCGGGCACAGTGGCTCACGCCCATAATCCCAGCACTTTGGGACGCTGAGATGGGTGGATCACTTGAGGTCAGGAGTTCGAGACCAGCCTGGCCAACATGGCAAAACCCCACCTCTACTAACAATACAAAAATTAGCTGGGTGTGGCGGCGGGTGCCTGTAATCCTGGCACTTTGGAAGGCAGAGACAGTCGGATCACTCGAGGTCAGGAGTTTGCGACCAGCCTGGCCAACATGGCAAAACCCCATCTCTACTAAAAATACAAAAATTAGCTGGGTGTGGTGGTGGGCACCTGTAATCCCAGCTACTTGGAAGGCTGAGGCAGGAGAATCGCTTGAATCTGGGAGGCAGAGGTTGTAGTGAGTGGAGATAGCACCACTGCACTCCAGCCTGGGTGACAGAGAGAGACTCTGTCTCAAAAAAATAATTAAAAAAAAAAAGTACGAAAGAATGGATATTAGGAAATAGCAGTATTTGCTGTGGGTGTGTACTTTAATTTTGGTCTGGTCTTTCACGAGCCATATATATAGCACAGAAGTCCCTAACCTTTTTAGCACCAGGGATCGGTTTCCTGGAGGACAGTTTTTCCACAGACCAGGGTGGGGGGATGGTTTCAGGATGATCCAAGTACATTACATTACGTTTATTGTGCACTGTACTTCTATTATTATTACATTGAAATATATAATGAAATAATTATACGACCCATCATAATGTAGAATCAGTGGGAGCCCTGAGCTTGTTTTCCTGCAACTAGACGGTCCCATCTGGGGGTGATGGGAGACAGTGACAGATCATCAGGTATTAGATTCTCATAAACAGCACGCAACCTAGATCTCTCTCATGCGCGGTTCATAATAGGGTTTGCACTCCTATGAGAATCTATGCCGCCGACAGGAGGTGGAGCTCAGGCGGTAATGCTCGCTCGCCTGACACTCACCTCCTGCTGTGTGGCCCGTTTCCTAACAGGCCACAGACTGGTACCGGTCTGTTGGTGTTAAGGCCATCCTGTCCAGATGGCCTTAACCAGCCAGGGTGTCAACCCCCAGCTGTTGTGAATTTTAGTTGCTCTCGGATCACAACTTCCCCTTTCTCCAGAGAACTGTTCTTGGTCTACAGCTGTCTGTCACCTTACCAAGAAATGTCGGGGAGGTTACACCTGTTCTAGGGGAGAGGAAGACAGCCAATGACTTACCAACAGAAGGTCAAAAAGCCCAGCTCTTGACTCAAGGGAGACATCCCTGGAGTACAATTCTTATTCCAATTTCCTGCGTGATCAGACTAGATTCCAGCTGAAACCACATTCTTCACTCCCTCCCTGATATATATGATTCATTCCTGCTCCCTTCCTTCCTATTTTCTACACTTGTCTCACTTCTTGACATGTTCCTCTTGAGAACATACTCTTCATAAATTATGTACACAAGAATCCCCATCTTGGGCTCTGCTTCTAGAGAACATGACCCAAGACAAGTCCGCAGTTACTGGGTAGCAAGGCAAAAAAAGTAAGTTTCAGTCCTGTCCAACGACCGTAGTCTAATGCTAAAATTTGGTCAGTCCTTTAGGTAATGCCTAGTCTCTGTGGTAGATTGGATATTGTTCCCAATTCTTCACTCCCTCCCTGATATACATTATTCATTTCCACCCCATTGACTTTGAACTTAGCTCTAAGACTGACTTTGGCCCATGGAATGTTAGTGGATGTGATGTGAGCCAAGGCTAAAAATGTGCCTGCGTGGTTTGGTTTGGCTCTTGTAATCCCATCTTCTGTTATATAAAGAGCATGTCACAGTCACTGCCGGTCCTAGAATGAGAAGACTTGTGGAGTGGACTTGAATCCCGCTCACAGCCTTGAGCCAAGCCCAGCTGATTCTAGTTGAAGCCAGAGCCCCACAGCTGAACCTGCAACCTATGAGTAGAGAATCAACGCTTGTTGTAAGTCCTTTTATTTCGATGTAGTTATGCAGGAGAAGCATGACTAGTAGAGTCTTTTAAAAATAAATACTCAGGGCCAGACGCGGTGGCTCATGCCTGTAATCCCAGCACTTTGGGAGGCCGAGGCGGGTGGATCACGAGGTCAGGAGATCGGGACCATCCTGGCTAACACGGTGAAACCCCGTCTCTACTAAAAATACAAAAAATTAGCTGGGTGTGGTGGCCAGTGCCTGTAGTCCCAGCTACTCGGGAGGCTGAGGCAGGAGAATGGTGTGAACCCAGGAGGTGGAGCTTGCAGTGAGCCGAGACTGCGCCACTGCACTCCAGCCTGGGCGACAGAGCGAGACTCTGTCTCAAATAAATAAATAAACAAACAAATACTCAGATCTTTGGGTTTTTATACTTGTCCCATTTTCAGAGGGTGTCTGGATGAACAAGGAGAGGTGGGTTTATGTGTCTAGCTCCTACTTGCTGACGTCTGTCACTGAGGAGATCCATCTTTTTCTGTTTGAGCTGGGTCTGATGACTTAGCCTCTCATTGGCTTTCGCTTGCCTTGTGGACACCTCTGAGTCCTGGTTCTGCCCCCTCTGTTCCCGTCCATGCTGATCAGTCCACTCAGCACCCTCTGCGGCCCCAGGACAGACCTACTGACTCTCAGCATTTGCTCTACCAAGGATCATAACAGGAGGCCAGTCGAGGCTGTAACCCTGCTTAACCATTCTGCACATTACTCTTAACTGGATTCAAGCAGGGCCATTCTACATGGTGGCCTCCTTCCAGAATCCCAAATATGGAATAGATCAAATGCCTCCTGCCCTTGAAGCCCAGTTGAATTATCAAACTACCTCTGCTTCTTCATGATTCAGTCTAGAACAGAGAGACTAGGGCCCATGTATTCCATAGTCATTCTCTGCTACCTCTCCCTCATTTTCTTCTCCATCATACCCTCAGGCCTAGGCCTAGGTTTTGAAAGCACACTATGGAAGAAATGCTCCAACCTCAGAGTCTTCATATGTCAAATGAAAACTAAAGGAATTTAGAAAACGATTTTCCTCTTGACAACATCTTGCTTTGGAGCCTATTGATTTGCAGTAAAACTCCATTGTGAATGTCCAAAGCTGCAAAAAAAAAAATTCCTCTTTGCTTATCCCCTGCAATATATCAAATCCTCCCCACCACCTTGATGGAATGGATAAGTTGTGATAGACATAGAGATATGCGGCCCAGATCTCCCTTCAGGGAAGAACTTGCTGCCTGGCTGCAGAGAATGTGGTCAGTCCCTCCAAAGGTAGCCAGTGTGCAATGACTGAGTCGGGTGGAGGCATAAAGACCTCCCTCTTTGGGGTCAACATGGGACACTTTAATGAGCAATTCTCACTCAAAAACTCCCTGCCGTGTTGGCTGAAGCTTTATTAGGCCTGCATCACAGTTTAACTTCTTCCTCTCCCTAGTTTGGCTTCTGCCCCCTTCTTTTCCATAATAAGCGTGTTTTGTTTGTTTGTTTGCCTGCTTGCTTGCTTTTTGAGACAAGGTCTTGTTCTGTCACCCAGGCTGGAATGCAGTGGCATGATCACGGCTCATTGCAACCTTGACCTCCTGGGCTCAAGTGATCCTCTCACAGAGTTGGAATTACAGGTGTGAGCCACTACACCTAGTCTTTAAATCTTTAAAGATTTGAAGTATGGAATTGGAAAAGAGGAGACAAAATTATCTAGATTTTCAGGGGATATCAACATATACTTGTAAACTCCAAGGAAACCTTGTGGTGGATAGAAAATACTCATTTCCACCCTCTCCAGAAACCTCACTAAAAAGGTGGTAAAGAGTTCTCTTAAAGATATAAAAGACAAAGATAAAGGATATGAACAAATTGTACATATAAAAAATGTTGAGCTGAGTGTAGTGGCTCACACCTGTAATCCCAGTACTTTGGGAGGCCAAGGCACATGGATTGCTTGAGCCCAGGAGTTCAAGACCAGCCTCATCAACATAACAAGACCCTGTCTCTACAAAAAATTTTTTAAAAAATAGCTGGGCATGGTGTCACATACCTATAATCCCAGCTGCTCAGGAGGTTGAGGCAAGAGAATTGCTTGAGCCTGGGAGGTCGAGGCTACAGTGGGTTGTGTTGGTGCCATTGCACCCCAGCCCTGGTGACAGAACAAGATCCTGTCTCAAAAAAAAAAATATTAAATGAAAAAAGCAAGATGGAGAACACTGTACCTAGCATGCTATCATTAGTATAAACAAAAGACAGGTAGAGTCTGGATAACTGAGGGGAGCAGGAGGTCCCCAGGAAGGCCTGTTTTCCAAGGAAAGAGGAGGAACAGAGAGGACAGTGAGGGTGAGGGCGGCTGCTGTCTCCTAAATCTGTCACCTCCCCTTCTCTGCTTTGGCAGCCATTATGTCCATGGGTCTCTGGCTTGTCTTGTGCAATACTTCCTTGTGTTAAACTCCAAGATATCAATGGGCTGATGAGAGTTCCAGCGTGAGCTACGTGACTGGATGGGTGCTTGGAATAAGAATCCCATGCCCCAGAGAGCAAGACCAGCAAGACAATACTGACTAAGCCACTTTCCCCTGTAAGCCACCCTGGACCCACTTCTCAGTCCTAAGGACTAATGACATAAACTGGATGATGGTCACATAAAAATCTTGGTGAGATGCTGGAAGTCTAAAGTGGTCCCTTTGGGATCATAATGTAAGAAAGTGGCTTCAAGGCATATTTCAGCATAGAGTAACCTTGGCATTGGAAGCACTTTGCAAAAACATAAGAGGCCATGCTAACTCTTTTCATACAACAGAGGCCTGGCAGGTGACATTTCCAGAGGGAGAATGGAAGATTCTGAGAGCACTGCACAAGAGTCTCCCTTAGACACTTCTAGAACATATAGGAGGCTGTGGTAGAAGGGAACTGAAAGTTCAAAGTGTTGATCATGTGCACTGACTAAGCCTTTGTATTTAAAATCAAGATGACATCATAACGGCCTGATTTTCTTTCTTTCTTTCTTTCTTTTTTTTTTTGAGACGGAGTCTCGCTCTGTGGCCCAGACTGGAGTGTAGTGGCGCAACCTCGGCTCACTGCAACCTCTGCCTCATGGGTTCAAGCGGTTCTCCTGCCTCCCCAGGTAGCTGGGATTACAGGCATAAGGCACCGCACCTGGCCAACCTGATTTTCTTAAAAATAAATCTGGGTTTAGATTATTGGTAGAAACATTAAGTGATGTTGTGTCTTCTCAGTGCAACACACCAGTCAATTTTCACGTTGATGGTGATGCTAAGTGTAATCTGATGGTCAACGTGGTGACCTTCAGCTCTCTCTGTGGTAAAGATACGTTTTCCCTTTTGCGATTACTAAACAGCCTGTAGGGTGATACATTCAAACCTTATGAATATCATTTTTCCCAACCCCCTTTATCCTAATAGTTTTACATTCCATTGATGATGCCTGCCTGAATCAATTATTAATAGACTGGTCATAAAATGATGATTTTTCCATTTCTATCATTCCATCTACATTCACAATTTGGCATTCTTTTATGAAGAAGAGCTTTCTTTTCTTTTTTTTTTTTGAGATGGAGTCTCACTTTCTTGCCCAGTCTGGAGTGCAGTGATGCCATCTTGGTTCACTGCAACCTCTGACTTCCAAGTTCAAGCAATTCTCCTGCCTCAGCCTCCCAAGTGGCTGTGATTACAGATGGGCATCAGGACGCCTGGCTAATTTTTGTATTTTTAGTAGAGATGGGTTTTTGCCATGTTGGCCAGGCTGGTCTTGAACTCCTGACCTCAAGTGATCCACCCACCTCAGCCTCCCAAAGTGCTGGGATTACGGGTGTGAGCCACCTCACCTGGCCCTCTTTTCTACCCCCTTTAAAATTTTTGGTGTTGGCCAGGTGCAGTGGCTCACGCCTGTAATCCCAACATTTTGGGAGGCTGAGGTGGGAGGATTGCTTGAGCCCATAAGTTCGAGACCAGCCTGGGCAACATAGCAGGATCTTGTCTCTATTAAGAAAAATAATAATAAAATAAAATACCATTGTTGGTTGTTTTATTTATTTATTGTGGTGGTTGTTGTTTTGAGACAGAGTCTCTCTCTGTTACCCAGGTTGAAGTACAGTGACATGATCATAGCTCACTGTAACCTCGAACTCTTGGGCTCAACTGATACTCCTGCTTTGGCCTCCCAAAGTGCTGCGATTACAGGTGTGAGCACAGGCCAAAATTTTTGGTGTTAATATCAATAGAGACACATGGATTCCTTTTGATTCAATATATAATAATCCATTCCTGCATTATTCATATGAGGCTGAGATTGTCCCAGATTTTGACATGAGGGCCTCCATAAAAATGTAGATTGCAAGCCACCTTCTCCCTCTCCTCCAGTGGGGCCTGGGATTCTGCATATATAACTACCACTAAACTAAAATCTGAAACACCCACTAAATCTGAAAAGTTGAGGAAAAGCCCTTGCCAAGGACCAGCTGAGGAGTTTATGTTAAGAGTGGTTTCACACCCACCAGGCAATACAGCTAGAACTTGACAAGGGCATCCTCTGAGGCAAAGAAGGCCAGAATGCCAGCAAACGAAGATGCATCTTCTGGAGGTGGAAGGGGGTGAGGAAGAAATGGAGAGGTCAGGGCTGGAAAGGAGATGCTTATGGTTTTTTTCCTGCCTTGGGAAGACTATAGCAGACAAGATACCTATTAATTCTTGCAACATTACAGCAATGGTTTTTCTGAGTAATAGGAACAGTTTGCTTCTATCCCCAAAGATGGAGAGCTCTTTGCTATTTGGAACCAAGTGTTGATATAGTCAGGAAAAGACCTGGATCAAGGGAGTGTATAAAGCACACAAGTGCACACTGTCACTCTTGCTGAACACTCCTGGTGAAATGTAGAAAAGACATGAAAGAGGGAAAGTAATACATCTACAGCAGCATCAGGAAACTGAAAAGCCAAAAGGCCAGGCATTTGATGAAAGTCCTGGACAATAGAGAGCAGGAGGAAATGTGGGATCAAAAAAGCAGAACTGGGCCAGGCTTGTTGGCTCACACCTGTAATCCTAACAATTTGGGAGGCTGAGGCAGAAGGATTGATTGAGGCCAGAAGTTTAAGACCAGCCTGGGCAACATAGTGAGACCCTGTCTCTACCAAAAAATAATATAAAATAAAAATTTTTTAAAAGTGGGGAATTGAGTCCATGCATTTGGGCCTACGTCCTCTCCAAACCTCACTAAAATAACAGTTAAAAAATAAAAAGGACAAAACTCACAAGGACAAAAAGAACAGACATTGAAACAAGATTGAGCTAGTGATGTCGAGAATAAATATTTCAGATGTTCTAGGCCAGGCATGGTGGCTCAGGCCTGTAATCTCAGTATTTTGGGAGGCTGAGGCAGGTGGATTGCTTGAGCTTGGGAGTTTGAGACCAGCCTGGACAACATGGTGAAACCCCATCTCTACCAAAAAAAAAAAAAAAATTACAAAAATGAGCCAGGCGTGGTGGCACACACCTGTGGTCCCAGCTACTCAGGAGGCTGAGATGGGATGATAGCTTGTGCCTGAGAGGTCAAGGCTGCAGTGAGCCATGAACACGCTGCTGCACTCCAGCCTGGGCAACAGAGTGAGACCCTGTCTCAAAAAACCAAACAAAACACATATTTCAGACATTCTCACCTGACACAGGTATTAAAGAGGAAATGATTCCACACTTGGGAAAATGGCAAAATTATGATTGCCTAATTCCTGAGATCTTAGGGGAACACTTTTTCAAACCCTGTTTCAATAAAAGCAGAACCTGCATCCTGGGAATTTACCCTCATGGGACACACCAGGGGAATGAAATTCCATTGCCACAATGTATGTAATCAATCCATAATGATTGAAGAAACAGACAGTTTTATGGTTCTATAAAGTTACAGTTTAACTTTAGAGACTAATAGGTTCTATGTTTTTATAGCCTGGTATAGTTTAACTTTAGAGACTAATAGGTTCTATGTTTTTATAGCCTGGTTGTGTGGTTAAATACAATGATTTTATTGCCCTGTGGAAAATTAATCAGTCTTGAATTTTACCCAGCAAATTGTCCTTGGAATTCCTTTAACTCTAGCTCTGTTCGTTTGTGCGAGCACACGAGGGTACACACACACACACACACACACACACACACACACACACACACACACAGAGTTTTTCTTTTTTTTTTTTTGAGACGGAGTCTCGCTCTGTCGCCCAGGCTGGAGTGCACTGGCGCAATCTCGGCTCACTGCAAGCTCCGCCTCCCGGGTTCACGCCATTCTCCTGCCTCAGCCTCCCGAGTAGCTGGGACTACAGGCGCCCGCCACCACGTCCGGCTAATTTTTTGTATTTTTAGTAAAGATGGGGTTTCACCGTGTTAGCCAGGATGGTTTCGATCTGACCTCGTGATCTGCCCGCCTCGGCCTCCCAAAGTGCTGAGATTACAGGCTTGAGCCACCATGCCCGGCCTCTTTGACATTTCAGTGTGTGAGTCCATCAGAGCATAACTGTTATTATCTTTCTTCTCTTTTTTTATCTTTGAGATGGAGTCCTGCTCTGTCGCCCAGGCTGGAGTGCAGTGGTGCAATCTCGGCTCACTGCAACCTCTGCCTCCCAGATTCAAACGATTCTCCCGCCTCAGCCTTCCGAGTACCTGGGATTACAGGTGCATGCCACCATGCCAAGCTGATTTTTGTATTTTTAGTAGAGACAAGGTTTCACCATGTTGGCCAGGTTGGTCTCAAACTCCTGACCTCAAGTGATCTGCCCTCCTCAGCCTCCCAAAGTGCTGGGATTACAGGTGTGAGCCACCATACCCTGCCATAACTGTTATTATCTTGAAAGCATGTGTTTTTATGGGTACTGGGACATCTGAACTCTCTGACGGAGGAGTGCGTCCTCGTAGGTGTCTTTATGGTCTTTCCTCAACTATAAACATCTGTAATCATGGGTAGTGACTGGCAAGGAATGTGCCCTGTTAGTCTCCAGATGGAGCTGAACTTTTAATTTGGCTCTTCTAGGCTCCTGCTTCCCTAACACAAAGTCACAAGTTTCTGCATTGAAAGGTCTTACCAGGAACCTAGAACAATGAATTAATTAAAAAATATCCACACAGGCTGGGCACAGTGGCTCACGCCTGTAATCTCAGCACTTTGGGAGGCTTAGGTGGGAGGATTCCTTGAGGCCAGGAGTTTGAGACCAGGCTAGGCAACATAGAGAGACCCCATCTCTACAAAAAATTTAAAACATTAGCTAGGCATTGTGGCATGTACCTGTAGTCCTAGCTACTTGGGAGGTTTAGGCAGGAGGACTGATTTAGCCCAGGAGTTTGAGGCTGCAGTGAGCTATGATTGTGCCATTGCATTCCAGCCTGGCGACAGAGTGTGACTCTGTCTCAAAATACATACACACACACACACACACACACACACATACGCACACACAGAAATTAGTATGAATTCATATTTATGTGTGTGTGTGTGCATATACACACACCCACAGATGAGTAAATACAGAAATAACTTTAGAAATAAATGTGTGTCTAAATGGATTAGTATACACATACATATTATTCTAACCCTCTGCTAAGAGATCCAAGAGCAGTGACACCCAATAAAACAAGCACATCCAGTGCCCAGATCTTGGTTTCTAAACCAAGAATGGTTTCTAAATACCATTCTCTGATTTTAAAAAACCAGGGCTTCTTGAAAAAATGACTGAAGCTATTTCAAGGCAAGGAAAATGCAAGATGAGCCCAGAGCACCTGATAGACCAGAAGGCAAGGAAGTACTCAAGAAAAAAAAAAAGTCAGAGGGATACCACAGCCAACTCTGAGGAGTTTCCAATGGCCAAAGCCAGACCAATTTGGGAACCAAAATAAATAATGTGGTATTGGATTGTAACCCAAAGTGTAAATAAGTATAGATGAGGCCATATTTACAGAGAGAAAATGATTGAAAAATAAATGACAGAAAAGGGACAAATTTCCTTATAGAAGAATTTCAAATAACATAAGTAGCTATGCTCTCCACCTTGCAAAAAGAAGTTTACTTCTTCTCCCCAACCCCTTTGAGGGTAGGCTGGACTTTGTGGCTCACTTCCAAATAACAGAATATGGAAGTGGGAAAAATGGTAACTGTGTGATGGAGAAACCTGGAAATACCACCTTAACCAAGTGATCATGGTTAACATTATCAGTAATAAGAGTATATTACTTGTGCTATTCTTCTCGAAATCCCATAAGCCCAGTCTAGTCCTGAGAAACATACCAGACAAATGCAAACTGAGAAACATTCTACAAAATGCTGGATAGTACTCCTCAAAACCGTCAGGGCTATGAAAACAAAACAAGACTGGGAAACTATCACAGACCAGAGGAGACTAAAGGGACAGGATGAATAAATGCAATATGGTGTCCTGGATTGGATCTTGGAACAGAAAAGGGGCATGAGTAGAAAAACTGATGAAATTTGAATGAGGTCTGGAGTTTAGTGAATAGTAACATACCAATATTGGTTTTTTAATTTTCACAAATATACCATGGTAATCTCATATGTTAACATTAGGGAAAACTAGGTGAGGGGTATATAGGAATTCTCTATATTATCTTTGCAACTTCTCTGTAATTTTTTTTTTTTTTTTTTTTACCAAATACGTATTTTTTTATTATGTCACAGCAAGAAAGAGCATAATCTGATTTATGTTATAAATTCCAACTAAAGAAGTGATTCATTCAATCTTTATACATATGACAAATATTTAATGAGTATCCACTCTGTACCAGATAGTGTTCTGGGCACTGTGGACACAGAGATGAGTAAGACAGTTAAAGCCCTTGCCCTCACGGAGCTTTCATTCTAGGGGATTCTGGGAAGGCAAAAAGAAAGCAAACAGTCCAGTTAAGATACCACTGCAGAGTCCACATGATGGATCATAATGGTTTCTTTTTTTTTTTTTTTTTAATTGATCATTCTTGGGTGTTTCTCACAGAGGGGGATTTGGCAGGGTCACAGGACAATAGCGGAGGGAAGGTCAGCAGATAAACAAGTGAACAAAGGTCTCTGGTTTTCCTAGGCAGAGTGTGTGTGTCCCTGGGTACTTGAGATTAGGGAATGGTGATGACTCTTAACCAGCATGCTGCCTTCAAGCATCTGTTTAACAAAGCACATCTTGCACCGCCCTTAATCCATTTAACCCTGAGTGGACACAGCACATGTTTCAGAGAGCACGGGGTTGGGGGTAAGGTCATAGATCAACAGGATCCCAAGGCAGAAGAATTTTTCCTAGTACAGAACAAAATGAAAAGTCTCCCATGTCTACTTCTTTCTACACAGACACGGCAACCATCCGATTTCTCAATCTTTTCCCCACCTTTCCCCCTTTTCTATTCCACAAAACCGCCATTGTCATCATGGCCCGTTCTCAATGAGCTGTTGGGTACACCTCCCAGACGGGGTGGTGGCCGGGCAGAGGGGGTCCTCACTTCCCAGTAGGGGCGGCTGGGCAGAGGCGCCCCTCACCTCCCGGACGGGGCGGCTGGCCGGGCGGGGGGCTGACCCCCCCACCTCCCTCCCGGACTGAGCAGCTGGCCGCGCGGGGGGCTGACCCCCCACCTCCCTCCCGGACGGGGCGGCTGGCCGGGCGGGGGGCTGACCCCCCCACCTCCCTCCCGGACTGAGCAGCTGGCCGCGCGGGGGGCTGACCCCCCCCACCTCCCTCCCGGACGGGGCGTCTCGCCTGGCGGGGGGCTGACTCCCCCACCTCCCTCCCGGACGGGGCGGCTGGCCGGGCAGAGGGGCTCCTCACTTCCCAGTAGGGGCGGCCGGGCAGAGGCGCCCCTCACCTCCCGGACGGGGTGGCTGGCCGGGGCGGCTGGCCGGGCGGGGGGCTGACCCCCCACCTCCCTTCCGGACGGGGTGGCTGCCGGGCGGAGACGCTCCTCACTTCCCAGACAGGGTGGCAGCCAGGCGGAGGGTCTCCTCACTTCTCAGACGGGGCGGCCGGGCAGAGACGCTCCTCACCTCCCAGACGGGGCGGCGGGGCAGAGGCGCTCCCCACATCTCAGACGATGGGCGGCCGGGCAGAGACGCTCCTCACTTCCCAGATGGGATGGCGGCCGGGAAGAGGCGCTCCTCACTTCCTATGTGGGATGGCGGCCGGGCAGAGACGCTCCTCACTTTCCAGACTGGGCAGCCAGGCAGAGGGGCTCCTCACATCCCAGACGATGGGCGGCCAGGCAGATACGCACCTCACTTCCCAGATGGGGTAGCGGCCGGGCAGAGGCTGCAATCTCGGCACTTTGGGGGGCCAAGGCAGGCGGCTGGGAGGTGGAGGTTGTAGCTGAGATCACGCCACTGCACTCCAGCCTGGCTAATTTAAAAAATTTTTTTTGTAGAGACGAGGTTTCACCATGTTGATCAGACTGGTCTGGGACTCCTGGGCTTAAGGGATCCTCCTGCAGCACTCAATTTTTTTTTTTAAATAGAGGCAGTATCTCACTCTGTCACCCAGGCTGGAGTGCAGTGGTGCCATCATAGCTCACTGCAGCCTCCATCTCCTGGACTCACGTGATCCTCCTGCCTCAGCTTCCCAACTAGGTGGGACTACAGGCATGTGCTACCACACCTGGCGAATTTTTTTTTTTTGTAGAGACAGAGTCTCACTATGTTGCCCAGGCTAGTCTTGAATTCCTGGGCTCAAGTGATCCTCCCATCTTGGCCTCCCAAAGTGCTGGGGTTATAGGTGTGAACCACCATGCCTGGCTGTAAATCTTAAATTATTCCAAAATAAAATGTTTCTTCACATAAACAGTTAGTGGCACAACACATAAAATTTCAGAATATTAGAAACAATGGATTGTATGAGCTTCTAGAGAAGAAAAAAAGTAGGTCACATAAAAACAATCAGGAAACACAATGGCATCAGACTGCCCATCAGGAACCCTGAAGCAATCCCCCCACAACCTGGGAGAAATTACAGTCACCTACTTGCCTCAGCCTTGAACAGGGCAACCTGTCACTGCTTAGGTCACATACTGCTTAGCCCCAGAAGTCACCCTGGACTTCTACATTAGGGCAGCCCTGGCTGTGAACTATGTTTGCATAATGATAATAACACAAATGCTAAATACCAGCATAATAATATATATTATAACTATTATTTGCTGGGAGTGTGATTGTAGGAGTAAAATTACGTCAGTATGTGAATGTGTCCACGTGATAGGGAACAAGATAGTGCAAATTAAGTTTATATGGTAAGGAGTCAGATAATATTTAAGAATAAAAAATCAAAAAATAAGACTTCCATATCTGGTAGAAAAGATGAGGTAATTGAATCAATTTTATAATGAAACTATTTAAAAATGCTTAAGTATCTGTATCTATTTGTCTCTAGTTCTCCATTTATCTATCAAACTGTATCTATCTATTTATATCCCTAAAAACATTGAGCTAAAAACGTAAGGGGAAATACTGAGGTCAAATTTTTCTGTTTTGAGCGTAATATCAGATTACCAAAGCTGCTTCTGTCTTGCTAATACTGCATAGTTGGGCTTTTGTTCAGTGGTGTTGGGAGACAGGGCAAATGGATGAAAGTAGAGACTTAGGCTGGGCACGGTGGCTCACACCTGCAATCCCAGCACTTTGGGAGGCCAAGGCGGGTGGATCACCTGAGGTCAGGAGTTTGAGACCAGCCTGGCCAACATGGTGAAACCCCGTCTCTACTAAAAATAGAAAAATTAGCTGGGTGTGGTGATGGTCGCCTATAATCCCAGCTACTTGGGAGGCTGAGGCAGGAAAATTGCTTGAACTCAGGAGGTGGAGGTTGCAGTGAGCCCAGATGGAGCAACAGGAGCGAAACTCTGTCTCAAAAAAAAAAAAAAAATTTTTAGAGGCTTAGGGCTTGTTTAAGGTGGGTAGACTCAAAGACCCTGTTCAAATCAAGCTGGGACCCCCCACAAAGGCCTATACTCTCAGGATAAAGGTAAATCAGAACCAAACTTGTTCCCTTCCACTACCCCAGGGGAGTTTGGAGAAGGCCGTCTTGGTCCTGAACAAAGAGAAAAAAAGATAGGAGAAACAAACAAACAAAAAATCTGTCTTTGAGAATTTGTGGCTACTGATCAGTCCTGACTTGTACCTGGAACAGTCTGTGCTACCTGGAGGGGACAGCTGTGAACTTAGTTTGAGGAAGTCATTGAGTGATGAAACAGAAGCAAAATAGAAGGTCTCTCTGGAACTTGATATATCCATTCTGGGCCTTAGGGAGCACCTAAAATACATTTTCAAGGGTGATGACCAGCAGGAGGTCAAAGATAATAAACAAGAAAATAAGATAACATGAGAAAGAAACAGCAGAAACAACCAACTCTAGAAACAGATTCACACAGGCTTAGGATATTAGAATTGTCAGACAGATTATAAAAAGTACACTTAAAATATTTAAAGAAATAAATGAAAAGCCTGAAAAATATCTATAAGAGATAGCAAATGCTAAAAGTTGACCAACAAGTTTTAGAAAAATATCAATTAAAGTTTCTAGTAAATAAAACCTAGAATAACTGAAGTTATTCTAATAAGTTATTCTAGTAAATTTTAGAATTTACTAGAATAACTACTAAATATTATATTTACTAGTAATATAATAGTACTATTATAATAGTAATATTTATAGTGTTATATTAGTATATTCAACATCATATTAAATATAATATATATTATATTTACTAGTAATATAGTATTATATTTACTAGAATAACTAATAATTTTCTAGTAAATATTAGTTTACTAGAATAACTGAAGTTATTCAGTTATTAGAGTTTCTAGTAAATAAAAACTGGAATAACTGAAGTTTAAAGCTCAATGAATGCTGGGTGTGGTTCATGCCTGTAATCCCAGTGCTTTGGGAGGCCAAGGTGAGAGGAACCCTTGAGGTCAGGAGTTTGAGACCAGCCTGGGCAATAAAGCGAGACTCCATCTCAAAACAAAACAAAAAATTAGCCAGGTGTGGTAGCACATGCCTGTATTCTTAGCTACTTGGGAGGCTGAGGTTGGAGGATTGTTTCAGCCCAGGAGTTGGAGGCTGCAGTGAGCCCTGATTGTGCCAATGGACTTCAGCTTGGGCGACAGAGCGAGACTCGGTCTCTAAAAAATAAGAAATAGAATTCAGAAACAAATACTTTGTCATCTATAGACCATAACTAAATGAAAGTATAAGAGGTGTGTTTCTGGTAGAAAGAAAATGACTCTAATATAGAAGACCAGAGATGCAGAAAGAAATAATGAGTAACAAAATGGAACATATGTGGGTAAATATAAGTGTAAAATGTGGGTAAATATTAATGTACATTGGTCATTTAAAATGATAGTCATGATGTTTTGTTGGATAAAAACCATATGTAGGCAGGGTGTGGTGGCTCATGCCTGTAATCCCAGCACTTTGGGAGGCTGAGGCGGGCGGATCATGAGGTCAGGAGATCAAGACCATCCTGGCCAACATGGTGAAACCCTGTCTCTACTAAAAAAAATACAAAAGTTTGCTGGGCGTGGTGGTGTGTGTCTGTAATCCCAGCTACTCGGGAGGCTGAGGCAGGAGAATTGCTTGAACCATGCAGTTGGAGATTGCAGCAGTGAACTGAGATCACGCCACTGCACTTCAGCCTGGTGACAGAGCAAAACTCAGTCTCAAAAAAAAAACAACAAAAAACTACATGCATATGTGCAACAATGGCCATATGTCAGGTGTGTGTAAAAGGACTTAAAAGTGTTCTAAGGTCCTTGCATTGCCCAGGAGGAGGGTTAATGGATCAATTCACATTAGACTGGATGAGGCAATGATAAACATTATGATTTTGAGGGTCACTGCTAAATTACTAGAAAAAGATTGTTTAACATTCAAATTAGCAGAAACAAAAAATGGAATAATGAACTATATTAATCAGTCAGAAGGAAAGAAAGGAGAGGAATAGGTGTTAGAAAAGCTGAGACAGGCCGAGCACAGTGACTCACACCTGTAATCCCAGCACTTTGGGAGGCTGAGGCAGGAAGATCACTTGAGGCCAGGAGTTTGAGACCTACCTGGGCAACATAGCGAGACACGGTCTCTATATATTAAAAAAGAAAAAGAAGAACTGAGACAAATATAAGACTCATAATTCACAATGATAAAATGTCATTTTGGCTGGGTGTAGTGGCTCACACCTGTAATCCCAGCATTTTGGGAGGCAGGTGGATCACTTGAGGCCAGGAGTTCAAAACCAGCCTGGCCCACATGGCGAAACCCTGTCTCTGCTAAAAATATGAAAGTTAGCCGGGTGTGGTAGAACATACTCGTAAGCTCAGCTACTCAGGAGGCTGAGGCACAAGAATTGTTTGAACCCAGGAGGCAGAGGTTGCACTCTGTGAGCCGAGATCACACCACTGCACTCCAGCCTAGGTGACAGTGAAAGACTCCGTCTCAGAAAAAAGGCAATTTTCCAGGAAGATGTAATAATTCTAAATTTGTAGGCACCTACTAATATCGTCCTCAAAATAAAATGCTAAATCAACAGAACTAGAAGTAGAAATAGATGTGTCTATGATCATGGTGAGACATTTTAACATATTTCTTGCAGAAACTGACAAAATAGATCTACAGGCTTGTTGTTTGCCATTCTTTCTTTCTGCCTATTCTTTTCTTCCTTTCTCTTTTCTACTCTGAAATACAGGGAGCTACATGTCCTAGACTTTGGTTCAGCCGATAGGGGCATTCTCAGAAAACTAGCAGGTAGAGGGGGGAAAGCCATTTTCTCTCTACTTTGAGTGGTGTGTGTGTGTTTTCTCCACAGCCCCAGCTTCCACCTGGAAAAAATTAATTAACTAGAAAACAAGCATACAAAAGAGAGGATTAATGAAGCCACACATTGGTTCTCTGAAAAGACTAATGAAATTGATAAACCTTTTGTGATCCTGATCAAGAAAAAAGAGAACAGTCTCAGGAATATAACAGAGGCATCACTTCTGATCCTATAAATTCTAAAAACTAAAAAGAGGATATTATGGACACATTTTATATCAATCAATTTAAAAATTAAGGTGGAAATCCTAGGGAAAATACAAAAATGATACAAGAAAAAATAGAAAACTTGAAAAACTCCTCTAACTTTTAAAGTACCTGAATTCATAATTTAAAACTTCTCTTCAAAGAAAATTTAAGGCTCACATGGCTTTACTGGCAAGTCATATTAACATTTAAGGAATAAATAATTTCAGTCTTACACAGACTCCTTCGGGTAATAGAGAAAAAAGCATTTCCTTAATCACTACAGTAATGGAGCGTGATATTGGCTCAAGGTGGGAGGACTCGTTCTACCAGATACCAAGACTTACTAAAAAGTTAGAACCTGGGTGTGGTGGCTCATGTATGTAATTGCAGCTCTTTGGGAGGCCAAGGAGGAAGAATCGCTCAAGCCCAGGAATTTGAGGCCAGCCTGGACAAAACAGCGAAACCCTATCTCTACGAAAAAGAAAAAAAAAAAAAACCACAAAAATTAGCTGGGCAAGGTGGTGAGTGCCTGTGGTCCCAGTGATTAGGAAGGTTGAGGTGGGAGGATCACGTGAGCCTGGGAGGTGGAGGCTGCAGTGAGTGGTGATCACGCCACTGCACTCCAGCCTGGGTGACAGAGCGACACCCTGTCTTAAAAAAATAATAGTAATAAAATAAATTTTTAAAAGTTAGTACTCAAGACAGTATGGTATTGGTGTTAAGATAGAAAACTAGACCATATTTAAACAATTTATGACAAAGATGGCTCTGCAGAGCAGCAGGGAAAGGAGAGCCTTTTCGGTTAAATGGTGCTGAAACAGAAAAGTTGGTATAGAGAAGTGGTTAGACAGGTGATGGAAATCTGAAAGATCAAAAAGAAGATGAGGTAACCCAGAGAAAAGTAACTCCAGTCTCTTCTAGCATTTAGGGAACAAATGTAGGGGAGGTGGTGCCACCAGAATCTAAGAGTGCAGAGAAAGGAGCTGGGCCCAGGGAGGAGGAACATGTTGCCAGAGCTTCAACTTTGAAGGAGGGGCCTCCACTTCAAAGAGGAAGAAGGAAAGACTGAGAAGAAAGGAAAAAGAAGAAAGACTTCTTTCTGCTGCCTTCTGATCTCCTGCCCATGTATCTCTTCTTGGAGAGCCTAATGGGAAACGATCAACAAGGAAGGCTGAGAAACATAATTCACAGGCCCCAGTCCCAGTGTTCACAAGCAGAAAATGGAAAGGTAAATTATCAGCACTAGTATCCATATGGAGAAATGAAAATTGACTTCTTTCTCATACCATACACACTATAACATCTAAATATTAAGGGCAAACAATGAAATGTTCAGAGAAAAAAATGTAGGAAAAATGTTTCACTGTCAAAGAGTAGACAATTTTTTTTTTTTTTTAGATGGAGTCTCTCTCTGTCACCCAGGTTAGAGTACAGTGGCACGATCTTGGCTCACTGCAACCTCTGCCTCCCGGGTTCAAGCGATTCTCCTGCCTCAGTCTCCCGAGTAGCAGGGATTACAGAGGTGCACCACCACACCTGGCTAAATTTTGTATTTTTAGTAGAGACGGGGTTTCGCCATGTTGGACAGGCTGGTCTCGAATTCCTGACCTCAAGTGATCTGCCTGCCTAGGCCTCCCAAAGTGCTGGGATTACACGTGTGAGCCACGGTGCCTGGCCTGACAAATATTTCTTAAACAGGTCACAAAAACCACTAACTATAAAGGAAACAATAAATTCAAGGACATAAAAATTAAGAATTTTTTTTTTTGAGTTTGGCTCTTTCCCCCAGGCTGGAGTGCAATGGCATGATCTTGGCTCACCGCAACCTCCACCTCCCAGGTTCAAGCAATTCTCCCGCCTCAGCCTCCCGAATAGCTGGGATTATAGGCATGCGCCACCACGCCCAGCTAATTTTGTATTTTTAGTAGAGACGGGCTTTCTCCACGTTGGTCAGTCTGGTCTCGAATTCCCGACCTCAGCCTCAGGTGATCTGCCCACCTCGACCTCCCAATGTGCTAGGTTACAGGTGTGAGCCACCGTGCCCGGCCTTTTTTTTTTTTTTTTTTTTTAAGAGAAAGGTTCTCATGTTGCCCAGGCTGATCTTGAGCTCCTGGGCTCAAGCAATCCGCCTGCCTCAGCCTCTCAAAGTGCTAGGATTACGGTGTAAGCCACTGCACCTGGCCCTGAAAATTAAAAACTTATGTCCACCAGAAGATGACATTGAATGAAGAGGTAAGCCAGAGAGTGGAAGATATTTGCCATATATGTGTCTGAGAAAGGACTTGTATCCAGAATACCTACTCATTTTTCTATTGAGTTGTTTGCTTTTGTCTAATCGATTTGTTAATTTATTACTTATCTATTTATTTTATTTTTATTTTTATTTTTTGACATGGAGTCTCGCTCTGTCGCCCAGGCTGGAGTGCAGTGGTGCGATCTCGGTTCACTGCAACATCTGTCTCCCGAGTTCAAACGATTCTCCCGCCTCAGCCTCCCGAGTACCTGAGATTATAGGCGCATGCCACCATGCCAAGCTGATTTTTGTATTTTTAGTAGAGACAGGGTTTCACCATGTTGGCCAGGCTGGTCTTGAACTCCTGACCTCAAGTGATCCACCCACCTCAGCCTCCCAAAGTGCTGGGATTACAGACATAAGCCACTGCACCCAGCCAATTTGTTAATGTATTTAAAAGTCAAGAATTGGCACTATAGGCCAGGCGTGGGTGACAAGAGCAAAACTCTGTCTCAAAAAAAAAAAAATTGGCACTATAAGCATGTTCCTTGGAACTATGGATGTAAATGCAAGGAGAAATAATTTTAGCACTCACCTTGGGTGGGATTGGGAAATGGAGTTTTTCTTTTCTTCCTTCCCCTCCCCTTCCCTCCCATCCTTGTCCCTTCCTTCCTTCCTTTCTTTTTCTTTCTAATAGGCTCCTGCTCTATTGTCCAGGCTAGAATGCAGTGGCATGACCAGGGCTTACTGCAGCCCCAGCCTCCTGGGCTCAAGGAATCCTCCTGCCTCAGCCTGCTGAATAGCTGGGACCACAGGTGGGTGCCACCATGCCTGGCTAATTTGTCATTCTTTTGTAGAGACAGCATCTCACTTTGTTGCCCAGACGGGTTGCTTTTCAGTTTGAGCTTCACAGCACTATTTTACTTTTTAAACCATTTTCATTTGTTGCTTTGGTAAGAATTAACAATTAGAAATCAATTTTAAAATTATTGAAAAAATAAAGAAAAATTGGCAGAATCAGATTAATGGAACACAAGACCAGAGAGAATCAAAACATACCAGTTAGAAGTTTAGGATCAAGTAAAAAGCAGGGCTTCCCAATGAAGTTAACCGATAATCCCAGCACTTTGGGAGGCCAAGGCAGGCAGATCACTCGAGGTCAGGAGTTCGAGACCAGCCTGACCAACATGGTGAAACCCTGTCTCTATTAAAAAAAAAATACAAAAATTAGCCAGTCATGGTGGCATGTGCCTGTAATCTTAGCTACTCAGGAAGCTGAGGCAGGAGAATGGCTTGAACCCGGGAGGAGGAGGTTTCAGTGAGCCGAGATCGCACCACTGCACTCCAGCCTGGGTGACAGAGCAAGCGAGACTCCATCTCCAAAAAAAAGAGAAGTTAACCAATATTTAAACAACAGGGAATTGTTACATGCATAGAAGAACAGATCAATGGAGCAAACTGCATAATCAAGAAACAGACCCACAGAAATGTAGAATTTAGCTTTAATGAATGCAGCATTTCCAACTGTTGGGAAGAAGAGAGTACTCAATATATGGTTTGGGGACAACAGGTTTTATATATTGGAAAAGAATTAAGTTAGGTTTCTACCTCATACCATCAATAAAAATAAATTCTAGGCGAAATATAGATCTAAAATGAAAATATCAAAAATTCTAAAAGCAAATATGTTGGAGGATTAAAAATTAAAATTCAGAGGGAGGAAAGTTTTCATAAGTGAGACACGAAAGGTTGAGATGAATATGGCAGCTGTTCAATACTTACAGGCTTTTTCTTCTTCCATTCTTCCATGACAAAACTCTTCTGTCTTGTGTGGAGCAGCTTGAGTAGTTTGAAATGCCTCATCCAGACACAGGAATGGATATACGATACACATCAGTCAGAGTGCCCAACCTGGTTCAAAGACTCTTCTGGAATTCCTACACCCAGTCTGTCATGACAGTCTCTCTCCCTTCCTTTGAAATCATGAACTATAAGAATATGGGCCATATTTCCAACAAGGTGAAGGGAACTTCAACAGAAAAGAAGCCCAGAGAACTGAGAGATTCAGAGAGAAATAGTTCTGTTTTTCTTTTTTTCTTTTTTTTTGAGATGGAGTCTTGCTCTGTCGCCAGGCTGGAGTGCAGTGGCACGATCTTGGCTCACTGCAACCTCTGCCTCCCGGGTTCAAGTGATTCTCCTGCCTCAGCCTCCTGAGTAGCTGGGACTACAGGCATCCGCCACCACACCAGCTAATTTTTGTATTTTTAGTAGAGACGAGGTTTCACCATGTTGGCCAGGATGGTCTTGATCTCCTGACCTCGTGATCCACCCACCTCGGCCTCCCAAAGTGTTGGGATTACAGGTGTGAGCCACCGCACCCAGCCCTGTTTTTCATATTTATTTATTTATTTATTTAGAGACAGTCTTGCTCTGTTGCCCAGGCTGCAGTGCAGTGGCCAATCATAGTTCACTGTAGCCTCAAACTCCCGGGCTTAAGCGATCTTCCTCCCAAGTTGCTGGGACTATAGACAAGACCCACCATGCCCAGATAATTTTTTTTTTTTTTTTGTAGAGACAGTGTCTCACTCTGTTGCTCAGGCTGGTCTCAAACTCCTGACCTCAAATGATCCTCCTGCCTCGGCCTCCCAAAGTGCTGTGATTACAGGTGTGAGCCACCACACCCAGTGAGAAATAGCTCTAATGATATGGTTGGAATTATGATTCTGGTTGTGGCTTAATACTAAATAACTCCAGAATTCTCAATTTTGTTACCAAAAATTGTCTTTTTCTTCGAATCAGATTGAGTTGGGTTTCCATCACCTTCAGCCCAAAGAACCACATCTGATAAATCCAAAAATGATGCTGGTTAGCTTGTCAATTTAGACCACATAAAATTACAGCCTTCTCAACGTGAGAAATAGCAATAAACAGAGTCAAAGGTATGAGATGGAGTGGAAGAAATTACAGCAAACAATGGACAAAAGATCAATGTCTGGGCCAGGCATACTGGCTCACACCTATAATGTTAGCACTTTGGGAGGCCAAGGTGGGAAGATCACTTGAACCCAGGAGTCTGAGACCAGCCTGGGCAACACAGGGAGACCCCATATCTATAAAAATTTAAAAATTTAAAAATGATGGTGTGTGCTGTAATTCCCACTACTCAAGAAGCTGAGGCAGGAGGATTGCTTGAGCCTGGGAGATGGAGACTGCAGTGAGCTGTGTTCATGTCACTGCACTCCAGCCTGGGCAACACTCCAGCCTGGGCAATCGAGCAAGACCCTGTGTCAAAAAAAGAAAAGGAAAAAGAAAAATCAGTGTCCAGAATATATAGAGTACCTCCAACTCAGTAGGGAGAAAATAAGATGACTCAAAGGAAAGACGAGAAAACAAAAAGGGTATTGTGGCTGTCAAAGCTCTTTCCTTTAGGAATGATAAAGCTTAACTCTTACCCTTTTAAAGTTAAAAAACAAACAAAAAAAGGTGGTGGGGAGTGGATTTGTTGGTTCCATAATTGAATGAGAACCCAAGGGAGCAGTATGCTTCAGAAACAGCAGGATCCTTGTTCTTGGACACTGCTCACAGCTATTGCTTGCTCTCTCTTCCTCTCTTGGTTCTAATTCTTTCCTTTTTATGAGTAGGCTTTATTGTCACCCAGAGTCTCTCCACATGGCAGTAATGTATTTTCCAGCAGCTTCAGACTTGCCATCATTGCCGTCTATCAGAACTGTTTGGGTTGTGAGTGTTACAAAATTCATTGTAAATTAGCTTAAACAAACAAAATAAGAGAACTTACTAGCCTGTATAATCAAAGAGGTGTAATCTAGGATAGGGTTGGCTTGTAGGGGAGCTTAAGCTAAGAGCTCCAGCAATGTCAACCACTTGGGCTTATTTCACTCCCTCCATTAGGAGCCTGCCTGCTGCTGTGTTTGTTGGCTTCATTCTCAGAACAGTCCCTCATGCTACCTTCCAGCGGCCCTAGGTTCTTCTCATCCTTGATGCTCTTAGTCCAGGGAAAAAGAGTTTTTCTCTCTCTTAACAATCCCATATTTCAATGGCTCTCATTGGGACGCAGGGCTATGCCAAACAGTCTCTGTGGTCACGGGAACATGACTAATCAGATGCGGGTTACATGCCTAACTATGGGCTCAAAGAGAATTCACCTCCACTCAAAGTAGAGGAACTGAGAATGAGAGGAAGGTAGCTCCCTCCCCTTTCCTGCACAATGGGTGTAGTGTTATCAGGGGTGAAATACATGTTAGAGAGTAAAATTAACATACACCTACCACAATTTTCTTACATGTAGCTCATAACCTTAGAAAGAGACATACCTGCTTCTTCCCAGAGTCCATATCAATGCTCCAGAAGGCTGTAGCTATGTTGGGGTCATGTGTCTTCCTCTGGGTCAAGCCATCATTGTGTCCTACTGAAGGGCTGTCTTTGGCTGGGCATCTTAGAAGCAGAACCTGAGACAGCAAATTCACTGCCCCTGATTAATGGTGGGAGCACTCTCAGGAAAAACCTATAATGGAGGGAGGGATGGATAGGGCAGGGGAAGGAGTTAGGTGAAGATGAGTCCAACTGAAGTCTAGCTTCAGCCGGATCCCTAGGAGAGCTCTGAAGCATCAATTGCCCTTATCCTTGTCCCCCATTGAGGTAAAGAGGGCTGACTTTTGTACCCCTCATGTTTGGATATGGAATGTCCCCTTGAGGGATAATCTTTCAAGCAAAGTGACCCTGTCCTGCTGAGGGCAATTTTCTGATAAAAGGTGCAGTTGTGAGCCTCTAGCACTTAGGGGAACTGGGGGCTGCGTGCTAGGGTGAGTAAAAGGGATCTGGCTGGGCCTCCAACTGTGCCTACCACAATGAACTAGCGAGATTGATCTTCTGGGGACATTTGTCAGTCTTGTGACAGAGGACGTGGTTCTTTTTGTTTTATTGTATATATTTAAGATGTGCAACATGATATTTTGACATACATGTAGATCAGGGGTGTCTGATTTTTTGGCTTTCCTGGGCCACATTGGAAGAAGAATTGTCTTGGGCCAACCATAAAATATGCTAACACTAATGATAGCTGATAAGCAAAAAAAAAAAATCGCAAAAAAGCTCATGATGTTTTAAGAAAGTCTATGAATTTTTGTTGGGCTGCATTCAAAGCTGTTCTGGGTCACATGCAGCCTGCGGGCCGCGGGTTGGACAAGCTTGCTGTAGACAGTGAAATGGTTACTATAGTCAAGGAAAGTAATATATTTATCACCTCACATAATTACCCATTTTTTCTGTGTGTGGCAAAAGCAACTAAAATCTATTCTTTTAGCAAAAAATCTCAACTACAATGCATTATTACTAACTGTAAATCTCATGCTGTTTGTCAGGTCTCTGGACTACTTAGTCCTACATACCTACTCTTTGTATTCTTTGACCTACGTCTCCCTATTTCCTCCTCCTCACCCCCATAACCACTGTTTTACTGTTTTATTCTCTATGCATTCAACTTTTTCCCCCCAGACAGGGTCTCTCTCTGTTGCCCAGGCTGGAGTACAGTGATACAATCAAGGCTCACTGCAGCCTTGACCTCCTGGGCTCAAGTGGTCCTCCCACCCCAGTCTCCTGAGTAGATGGGACTATAGGCATGCGTGGCCACATCCAGTTAATTTTTTAATTTTTTCGTAGAGATCAAGTTTCACCATGTTGCCTGGGCTGGTCTCGAGCTGCTAGACTCAAGTGAGCCTTCTGCTGCAGCCTCCCAAAGCACTGGGATTACAGGTGTGAGCCACCACCCTGGCCTTGCCTTTTTTTTTTTTTTTTTTTTTAAGATCCTACATATAAGTGAGATCATGCAGTATTTTTCTTTCTGTATCTGGTTTATTTTACTTAGCATAATGTCTTCCAGGTTCAACCATGCTATTGCAAATGGCAGGATCTCCTTTTTTTATTTTTATTTTTTTTGTAAAGATGGGGTTTGCTATGTTGCCTAAGCTAATCTCTAACTCCTGGGATCAAGCATTCCTCCCGCCTTGGCCTCCCGAAGTGTTGGGATCACACTGCACCCTGCTGCATTTCGCTTCTTTAACTGCCTGCTATTCACACGTGTGCCTACCAATTTCAAAAATGCTAAAAAGTCCCCATTTAAGATAACATAGTTAGTTCACAATTGAAGAAAAGCTCTCCCACTTCTTGCAATAAACACTGTCATTGCTCTGCCCATACCCTTGTTCTTGCCACTTTAGTGCATTCTGGGCTGATTTCCAGCTGCCAGTATGTGCATTTCTTTGCCTTAAGGCTTTCTCTGACTGTTCCCTACTTTGCCACCTGCACAGCAGGCCAGAAGTACGAAGAATGAATGTTTCTCCCTCCTTGGGAGCTACTCTTAACCAATGACTGATGGGAGTTGACGTATAAATACCGCAGCCCCCTCACTCCTTGTAGTGGGATAACACTGTGGAGCGTGTTCTATGCAGGCTCCCAGAGTTCCCCATGAGATTGTGCTCCAATTGTACACAGTGGTAACTGGCTTGATAATGCGCCCTATATTAGTTGTCTTACTTTCCCCCTCTCCCACCAGTGTTTTCCCTTACCTCCCAAATAAACTCCTTGCAATGGATTCCTTGTCTCAGAATATGCTTCTGGGGACACATAAACAAAAACCTCCCCTCCCCAAACTGAAATAGCTCAAGTCAGGCCATGTCTGCTGTGGGAGGGAATGTGTATGTGTGAGGGGGTGGCTTCCATCACTTGTGTGTTAGCTGCATTCTTTTTATTTTTTTAAAACACATTTATTTTAAAATTTTACATAATCTTTGGGTAATTCAGAATTAGCTTAGGCAGGTTTCAGAAGTTTCTGAGACTGGTGTCTCAACTTTAAAGCAATAGCATACTCTAGTTTCTTTTCAGATCGTCTTAATCTTTCATCTTTTACTAAAAATAAAGATTGAAATACACCAATAGGCTGGGCGCCGTGGCTCATGCCTGTAATCTCAATACTTTGGGAGGCCGAGGCAGGTGGATCACCTGAGATCAGGAGTTCAAGACAACCCTGGCCAACATGGCTGAAGCCCGTCTCTACTAAAAATACAAAAATTAGTCGGGGTGGTGGCGGGCATCTGTAATCCCAGCTACTCAGGAGGCTGAAGGAGGAGAATCACTTGAACCTGGGAGGCAGAGGTTGCAGTGAGCGGAGATTGCAGCACTGTACTCCAGCCTGGGCGACAGAGTGAGAAAAGAAAGAAGGAAGAAAGGAAGGAAGGAAGGAGAGAGAGAGAGAGAAAGGAAAGAAAGAATGAAAGGAAGGAGAGAAAGAGAGATAAAGGGAAGGAGAGAGAGAAAGAAAGAGCGAGGAAGGGAAGGAAGGAAGGAAAGAAAGAAAGAGAGAAAACACCAATAGAAATAGCTTATTTGATTTGCGGAAGGATTAGAGAGGACCCCATGATCTAGTATGCATGGATGGCTATTGAAGAAGACAGAACCCCATAGACAAAGGAAGCATTAAGATGTAATTTTTAGGCTGAGCGCGGTGGCTCACGCTTGTAATCCCAGCACTTTGGGAGGCTGAGTCAGGCGGATCACTTGAGGTCAGGAGTTCGAGACCAGCCTGGCCAACATGGCGAAACCCTATCTCTACTAAAAATACAAAATTAGCCGGGCGTGGTGGTGCGTGCCTGTAATCCCAGCTACTCAGGAGGCCTAGGTAGGAGAATCCCCTGAGCCTGGGAGGTGGAAGTTGCAGTGAGCCAAGATTGCGCTACTGCACTCCAGCCTGGGTGACAGAGAGAGACTCCGTCTCAAAAAAAAAAAAAAAAGATGTTAATTTTAAATTGTCTGCCACAAATATTAAACAGCTCACCAGACCAACAATAACATCTATATCTTATTTGTATTTTACCAAAGTTCCCACATACAGATAGCATAGAAGTTCCACAGCTAAAAGTTTTATACACTTCAGAATCATATTTAAATTAATCTGATCTCTTGTATTAATAATAAAAATTAAGAACTAGATTCCACTCAGCGTGGTCTCAGTCTCCACACCAACATGTATTTACTACTGACAGAATGCCTCCTTCCTCTGCACTCAGTGATCATGATTTATGATCTGATGTGTCAAATCAGAACATAAAGCAAACCAGGGATTCACGGGCCCAGAGAAGGGTAAAGAACTCGTCCCATCCAGCAGGTAAGCAGCCCAAGTGCTCTGCCCATTCCCAAGCAGAATCAGAGCTGAGCAGCAGGCAGTGAGGAGGAGAGCACGTTCTTCCTTGTCCATTGCCTTGGGTGGTTTCTTGAGTGTCCCAAGTGGGGTAGTTGTTTCTCAATAGGAAAGTTAACTCTCTGAGGACAGGACCTCCTCCCACCTCCCTCGCAGCAGGGTCCAGCCCAAGTGTGAGGAGAGAGCAGGTCCTTAATAAAAGAAGGAACCAGCATATACGGAGCACCTACTATGTGCCAGGTACAGAGCCAGGGCAGGTGCGTTCAGGTAATCCTCGCAACAGCACTGGGGGTGGGATCATCATCCCTTCTTTACAGATGTGGAAACAGAGGCCAGGGAACGGAATCTGCCCAAAATGGCACAGCTAGTAAGTAGGGGAGCATCAATTTGAAAACCCAGGTCTTCTCACTCCAGGGCTCTTTCTCCTACCTGTATAAGCTGAGGGTTTGGCAGTAAATGAGGATCCCAGCTCCAAGGTGGTTGCTTTGGAGCTCAAACATTAGATCCCCTTGAGCACGTGGGGCCAGCCCTGAGAGTCCAGAGGCCTGGGTCCGGGAATCCTGGCTCTACAGCATGACTTCATCATGATCTTGAGTGAGTCCTTTAACTTCTCTACACCAGAGCCAGACTAATCCAGTGGGGTTCCCTACCAGGGAGAGGGGATTCAGCAAAACCATCGGGGGAGTATGTTTGCAAACCATAGGGAGCCAGTGTCTGCCCACAGACTCTGATGTTGTTCCTTTGCAGGGAGTACGTAGTGTGCCATACTCCACTATCGGATTGGCATAGCAATCTGATATCACACCCCTCACACCTGTTGAGAATCAGTTATGATCTCCAAGGTTCTGACCTCTGAGAGTGACATAAGTCCTAGGGAAGCACAGCCCCACTCCCTGAGACACCTTTTTCAGAAGTCCCATGAGGTCAAAGACATTGGGGTCAGGATACTTTAAAGCCAAAAATGCTTAAAAGTAATTTGGGAGGGGAAGACAGGTTTCAAAGGGAAAAGAAAGGTGATAGTTAGGAGGAGGTTTGGGAGTGGGTATTAAAAAGGAAGGGTTGGAGTATGGCATGCAAACCCAGCTGGTAGGACAGGGTCAGGCCAGGCCGAGCCTAGAGAAATCAGGTTTTAGGGATCTGGCTTGCCTGTTGTCTGTTGTGAGGTTGCACTCACTACCTCAGGAACGGGTAGGGGGCTTTGTCAAAAATGTCTTGAGGCTGGGTGCAGTCGCACATGCCTGTAATCCCAGCACTTTGGGAGGCTGAAGTAGGAGGATCACTGCAGCCTGGGCAATATAGGGAGACTGCATCTCTACAAATAACAACAACAACAGCAACAACAACAACGAATAGCCAGACTTTGTGCTGCATGCCTGTCGTTCCAGCTACTTGGGAGGCTGAGGCGGGTGAATCAGTTGAGTCCGGGAGGTTGAGGCTCCATTGCATGAGGGCTTGTGATTGTGCCACTGCACTCTATCCTGGGTGACACAGCGAGACCCTGTCTCAAAAATATATATATATATATAGATACATAGGTATATCCATATCCGTCCATACATACATACGTACATGTCTCTTGAGCCGCTAAGTTCAGGCAGGTCTTAGATAGTAAATATGGGAAGAAAGAAAAACACAACTCACATTATTCAGACATAATCTGCTTGCCATGTTTCTCCTCTTCCTCTAAGACACACTCGAATGCCCCAGTGCTATGAAGCCGTGTCTGACCCACAGACACCGTAAGTGTGTGGCCCTCCTGGGTGCACTGACAGCAAGCTCATCTCTCTACAAGCCCCCGTGCAGTGAGCACTCCGAATCCTAATTGCCTGTTTAGATGTCAGTCTCTCACACTGAACTGTGAATGACTAGAGGGCTTATAAGCAAGCCCTTTTGCTTATAAGCACCCAGGCTAAGGACCAGCCCAACCAACCAGAGTGACAGAAATATGTTCCAAGGCCATGGAACTCAGGAGCAATTTTGTTCTGGAGGAGTTGAGCATGTTTCTAACGCCCTGTACTGTTTACTTACCCCCCAAGAGCCACCCTACATCGGGCATAATTGTAATTCGGGAGAGTTTCTTTAAAACATAAAATCATTTATTTATTTATTTATTTATTTATTTATTTATTTATTTATTTATTTAGAGACAGAGTCTCACTCTGTCCCCCTGGCTGGAGTGCAGTGGTGCGATCTTGGCCCCCTGCAACCACTACCTCCCAGGTTCAAGCGTTTCTCATGCCTCAGCCTCACGAGTAGCTGGGATTACAGGCTCCCACCACCATACCCAGCTAATTTTTGTATTTTTAGTAGAGATGGGATTTCATCATGTTGGCCAGGCTGGTCTTGAGCTCCTGGCCTCAAGTGATCTGCCCACCTCGGCCTCTCAAAGTGCTGGGATTACAGGTGTGAGCCACCGCGCCTGACCCACAACATGAAATCAATATCTAGGTGCAGATTTCAAACAATATAGAGAATTGGTTTGTGAGAATGACATCATTCAGTTGGAACAAAGTCCAGCTTTGGCAGCCCTGTTGGGAAAGGTAGATCTGGCATCTACCTGTGTGGAAAGCAGAGAGGATGCTGTCTGGAAAGAATGCTGGTGTGTGTGTGTGTGTGCGTGTGTGTGTGTGTGTGTGTGTGTGTGTGTGTGTGGCAGGAGGCTCTCGGCTCATACACTCTTTGTGACTATAGGGGAGGCTGGGCTTGACTTCTTGCCATCAGGCTCCTGAATCTCCAGAGATCTTGCGGAACTTTCCACATGAAAAAAACACCAAAAAACAAAAAATGACAGCCTCCCTTAAAATGCATATGGGAGACAGGGACTGTTGTCTGGGGACCCAGACTATGGCCACAGCCACAGACTTCAAAGCTGCCTCAAGCCTAGGACTCCAGCTTGTGGACATCTTGCAGGTCTGCTTTCTGTCCTCTTTGAACCTTGTCCACAATCAGTGCCCTTGGCCCTGCCTTGCTTGGGTTCATAGCTAAACTCTCCCTGTTCCTTGAGCCATTTTTGATATGCCAATCTGGCTGCAGTCTGTTTAACTTGGTAAACACTGTAATCTGGGCTATACCTCTAGTCACAGGCTTTTGGTCAGCTAGTTCTGCACACAGGGTTATGTGCCACCCTTCCCCCATCTTGGGGTTCCTGCCACAGTCACAGTGCAAGTGAACGCAAGAACCACTTCACCATAAAAAAGGCTGCTTCACTGCCAGTGGCTTCTCAGATAATGGGAGTTGGTGCCAGTGGCTTTGGCAGCAACATGAGATAGGGACCTCTGTGCAGGCATCAGAGGCCTTGATCACAACCTTGGCAGTGGTCTGTATCAGGGCCTTGAGTAAGCATGAGAAACAGAGATGGTGCTTTTGGTGGTGCCAGGACAATGTGCTTTGTTCTTTTTTTTGTTTTATTTTTTTGAGATGGAGTTTCACTCTTGTTGCCCAGGCTGGAGTGCAGTGATATGATCTCGGCTCACTGCAACCTCCACCTCCTGGGTTCAAGCAATTCTTTTTTTTTTTTTTTTTGAGACGGAGTCTTGCTCTGTTGCCAGGCTGGAGTGCAGTGGCACAATCTCGGCTCACTGCAAACTCCGCCTCCCGGGTTCACGCCATTCTCCTGCCTCAGCCTCCTGAGTAGCTGGGACTACAGGTTCCCGCCACCACGCCCGGCTCATTTTTTGTATTTTTGGTAGAGATGGGGTTTCACCATGTTAGCCAGGATGGTCTCGATCTCCTGACCTTGTGATCAGCCCGCCTCGCCCTCCCAAAGTGCTGGGATTACAGGCGTAAGCCACCGCGCCCTGCCGGGTTCAAGCAATTCTTGTGCCTCAGCCTCCCAAGGAGCTGGGATTATAGGCGCACGCTGCCATGCCTGGCTAATTTTTTGTATCTTCAGTAGAGTTGGGGTTTTGCCATGTTGGGCATTGCTTGTCTCAAATTCCTGACCTCAGGTGATCCGCCTGCCTCGTCCTCCCAAAGTGCTGGGATTACAGGCGTGAACTACTGCACCCGGCCAATTTCTTTAGTTAACAATTAGAATACTTATCTGTTCTTATTAGGAAAAAAACCAATGTCTTCCTCTTGAGACCCTCTCTTTTCTACTGAATAAACCCAAGAAATCTGGGGCTTATTAAGTCTAAAACAGCCAGTCCAGCTTCCAAACAAGTCAGCCAAGCCCAGGTTGTGTATCTAACTTGTGAAAAACAGGTCACCTGGAGGGGACACTGTCTGAGAGCCACCTCACATCTACATGGAGATGGCGCAAAGGAATGTTGCCAGTTGTGGCAACCGTGAAAATTCATCGTTCAGCTCTCCTGCCGTGGGGAGCGGAGTTGACTGGCAGCCCCAGCTGCTCCCCCTCCGGGTCCCCCACTGCGTTTGTGCTACTGCAGGCTGATTCCTGCAAGATGCTGCTGCTCTGACAGACAACTCTGGCTCCAGGACTCCCCACTGGCCTGGGAGAGCCTTCATTGAAACTGCACTGACATCTGACACTCTTCTTAACCAATCTTTTCTTCCCGCTTTCCTTCACAGCTGTCAGATTTTTATTCCTGTCTGAATCCTCTCTTGCCATTTCCTGTTTGCTTCCGCTTTATCCTTCACAGACATTTCCCCCAGTAAAGCCCTTGTATGTCTAATTTGGTTTTGGCATCTGTTTCTCAGTAGACCTCCCAGGCGTACATGGTGCTGGAGCTGGTTCCCACTGGCTTGTGAGGGCTGAGCCTATGTCTCTCTTTCCGATTCCACACTCAGTGACATCATGATGGGAGCTCGAAATAGGTCATGGTGGGAGTATTTACAACATAGAAATCAACTAGTGCTATGCATGAAGGCTTTTTCTTCTCAGTGAGCTGGTTGCTAAACATTTATGAGCAAACCTCTGGTATCTACCCAATAGAAATGTATGTATACTCACCAAAATACCTGTATTTGATTTCCAGATGATCATAGCATCATGATTCATAGTAATCTCAAACTGGAAACTGCCCAAATGTCCAGCAAGAGAATTAATCAATAAATTGTCATATCATGATGTGTGTATATAAGTTTCTATTTTATTTTTTTTAGACAAGGTTTCCCTCTGTCGCTCAGGCTAGGGTGCAGTGGTGTGATCACTGCAGCCTCAAACTCCTGGTCTCAAGTGATCCTCGTGGCTCAGCCTGTCAAGTAGCTTGGACTACTGGTGCATGCCACCATACTCTGCTAATTTTTATTTTTACTTTTGAGACAGCTTCTTGCTCTGTTGCTCAGGCTAGAGTGCAGTGGTACGATCATGGCTCACTGCAGCCTCGATCTCCTGGGCTCCAGAAATCCTCCTCTTTAGCGTCCTAAGTAGCTGGGACTACAGGTATGCACCATCGTGCCTGGCTAATTTAAAACAATTTTTCTTTTGTAAAGACAGGAGTCTTGCTATTGTCGCCTAGGTTGGTCACAAACTCCTGGCCTCAAGCCATCCTCCTGCCTTGGCCTACCAAAGCATTAGGGTTACAGCTGTGAGTCACCACGCTCGGCCCATAGTACTTTTTTTTTTTTTTGAGACAGAGCCCTGCTCTGTCGCCCAGGCTGGATTGCAGTGGAGCAATCTTGGCTCACTGCAACCTCTGCTTCCTGGGTTCAAGCAATTCTCCTGCCTCAGCCTCCCAAGTAGCTGAGGTTACAGGCACCCGCCACCATGGCCAGCTAATTTTTGTATTTTAGTAGAGATGAGTTTTCGCCATGTTTGCCAGGCTGGTCTCAAACTCCTGACCTCAGGTGATCTGCCTGCTTCGGCCTCCCAAAGTGCTGGGATTACAGGCATGAACCAGTGTACCCGGCCCCATTGTATGTTTATACCACGTTTTGTTTACCCATTCATCTATCTACAGACACCTGAGTTGCTTCCACCTCCTGGCTCTTGTGAATAATGTTACAATAAACATGGAAATACACCTATCTCTTCAAAATCCTGCTTTCAATTATTTGGGAAATATACCCAGAAGTGAACAGCTGGATCAAATGGTAATTCTATTTTTAACTTGTTGAGGAGCCCCCATACTGTTTTTCATAGTGGCTGCACCATTTTATATTACCACTAACAGTGCACAAGGGTTCCAATTTCTCTACATCCTCACCAACACTTGTTATTGTCTGTTTGTCTGACTTCTTTGTTTTTAGAGATGGGGGTCTTGCCATGTTGTTGCTCAGGCTGGCCTCAAACTCCTGGGCTCAAGCAATCCTCCTGTGTTCGCCTTACGAATAGCTGGACTACAGGCACACACCACCACACCACCATGCCAGTATTGTCTGTTTTTTGTGTGTGTTTGTTTTTTTTTTTTTTTGAGACAGAGTTTCTCTCTCTTGTCGCCTAGGTTGGAGTGTAATGGCGCGATCTCAGCTCACTGCAACCTCCGCCTCCCGGGTTCAAACGAGTCTCCTGCCTCAGTCTGCTGAGTAGCTGGGATTACAGGCATGCGCCACCACACCCAGCTAATTTTTGTATTTTTACTAGAGATGAAGTTTTGCCACGTTGGCCAGGCTGGTCTCGGACTCCTGACCTCAGGTGATCCACCCACCTCAGCCTCTCAAAGTGCTGGGATTACAGGGGTGAGCCACCATGCCCGGCCTGTTTTTTTTTCCTTTTCTTCTTCTTTTATTTTAAATACAAGCTATTCTAATGGCATGAGGAAAGAGAGGAATTTTGATATCCTTTTTCATTTCTGCCTCCCAGAGCATAGATCAGTGTCTGGTATACAGCAGCCACTCAAAAAATATAAGTTGCTTAAATGAATACATTGAGTGAATTGACTACCTGTGTAGTGTGTGAAGTGGGCTGAATGGTGGCTCCCCCAAAAGATTTGTCCATGTTCTAATCCTTGGAACCTCTGGATGTTACTGTATTTGGAAAAAAAGGTCTTTGCAAATGTTGCCAGGCACGTTGGCTCATGCCTGTAATCCTAGCACTTTGCAGGCCAAGGCGGTAGGATCACCTGAGGTCAGGAGTTCGAGACTAGCCTGGCCAACATGTGAAACCCCGTCTCTACTAAAAAAAATACAAAAATTAGCTGGGCGTGGTGACGGTTACCTGTAGTCCCAGCTACTTGGGAGGCTGAGGCATGAAAATCGCTTGAACCCAGGAGGCAGAGGTTACAGTGAGCCAAGATCATGCCATTTGCATTCCAGCCTGGGCAACAGAGTGAGACTCTGTCTCAAAAAAAAAAAAAAAAAAAAAAAGGCTTTGCGAATGTAATTAATTAAGGAGCTTGAGGTGAGTTCATCCTGGATCATCCAGGTGGGCCCTAAATCCAATAAATGTCCTTATAGGAGATACACACAGAAGACGGACATAGAGGGGAGGTGACGTGAAGGTGGAGGCAGATATGGGATTTGTGACCACGAGCCAAGGAAGCCAAGGAATGTGGACAGCCACCAGGAGCTGGAACAGGCAGGGAAGGGTTCTTCCCTAGAGTCTCCAGAAGCCTAGCCTGCTGATACCCTGATTTCAGACTTCTGGTCTCCAGAACTGTGAGAGAATACATTTCTGTAGGTTGGTTTTTGTTGTTGTTTTAAAACTTTTATTGTTTTTAGCAATAATCATGTGTGTTCATTTTAGGAATATGGAATACACAAGTAAGCAGATAAAAAAAATCTTTTATAATCCTCTGTGGAGAGATTGTACCTTTTGTCTTTCACCCTTCACGAGTTTTTATGTGCATATATGTGATATCCAAATGTACTCTTACCTTTCAAAAATGTTATTCACAATTGGGCATGGTGGTATGTGCCTGTAGTCCCAGCTACTGGGAAGGCTGAGGCAGGAGGATCGCTTCAGCCCAGGAGTTTGAGGCTGTAGTATGCGATTATCACATCTGTGAATAGACACAGCACTTCAGCCCGGGCAACGTAGCAAGACCCTGTCCCTAAAAACTAAAAAATTAAAATGATATTAACATATTACTTAGTAACCCTTTTTTCATTTTATATCCTATCAGGAACCTCTTTTTTTTTTTTTTTTTTTTTTTTACAAATGAGTAAATCTCTTCTATAAAAGAGATTTGAAGATTGGTTCAAATATGGTAAACAATGAGATATGGGTAAATGATGCATCTGAAGCCACTAACAGCAACAGGTTAAAAGTAGAAAGATGGACAAAGGTATATCAGAAAAATGCTAATAAAAAGAAAGTTATATAGCATTGTTAATATCACATAAAATAAAAATAAAAGTAAATTGCATTAAATAGGGGCAAGGATGGTTTTGATCAATTTTCCAGTACATCCCTATAAGTTTGTTTCTTACTCTCCTTATCTCGTCTATTTCATCCACTTCTCTAAACATATCTTCATTGCTTAAATGCCTCTTATGTACATCTTTATATTCTGGAGAGATGGAATTAGCTTTCTCTAAAAGTTCCTTCTGCATTTTCCTCCTCCTCTGGCTTTTCCTCAAAATTTGGTTCACTATTTTCTGGCCTTCCTTCCATTTTTGGACAGGGTTTCATCTCATGTCTGTGGGGCTTCTCTTTCTTCCTTCTATTCTTTCTTTCTTTTTCCTTCCTTCCTTTTGTTTTCCTTTCTTCCCTCTTTCCTTTCTTTTTTCCTGCTTATTCCCCTTTGAGTGCAATAACTTCTGGCACTGATCAGGTAAGTTTCTTTCTCCTCTTTGTCTAGCCTTGCATTGTGCTAAGAACAACAGACCTGCAAAATTCTCACAAGTTGACTCTTCCCTTCGTTGGCCCCCAGCACCTTGGCCAACACTGCTGAAGGAAGCTGGTACCCAGGTGGGAACAAGAACCAGACTAGTAGGACTTCTGCACTGTCAACTTTTAAATTTCTGTGGTTTTATGCCACCAAGTTTGTGGAAATTTATTATAGCAGTCACAGGAAACTAATATGTCATCTGTAATTAGGAGAAATTATAAGGGATTTTAATCCAAAAGGATGGCTTCAGTTTGGGAACTTCTAATTTGAAGTACTTCATGGCCATATTTAGCAAAGTCATTTGTCTTTTAACAGTAGTACTGTTTTCATAGTATCTTATCTATACACAAGAGAAAATTTTTGTTCTCTGTTGTAGAAATTTGGGGGAGGGGGCATGAATCTAGCTCATCCAATAGAAATTTCAAGTCTTCTGCCTTTAAATTGATGTGCTCATCCCAGTGCAGCGTCTTGTCCCTTGAGCTGACATAAAGGTGAACTCCTGTACTTGTGGGACTTGTCTGAGGAGGCCACCAGGAGCTCTGCCAACAGCTCAGAGGTATAACTTTATGCTCCCAGATCAGGGACTCCTAAACACTTTCTCTTACAGTCTGCCAAGGACTATTGGAATCTTATTGCTGGTTGGTTGACAGTGGGATATCCATTGGAGCTTTCAATGGCACTTTATTCCTACCTAGAACCCTCTCAGTTGTGTTTGTTCCAAACCTTCAGGATCAACCTCTTTCACAGGCAACGTAGTACCTTACCTTCTAGGTGAGATTTTAACACCTATAATTAGAGAATTGCTTGGTCACACATTGACTAAAAGTATAAGGATAACTTTGGGACAATAAAATGTATCGATGTTTCAAACAGTGCAGAATGAGGACCGGTGATGTTTGCGGGAAAGTCAGATGGTCAATCAGATCTTACTTGAGCAGTATTCAATCTTTGCTTTCTAGTAGGTATTTGATAAACAAACATTTGTTATATGTATTACACATACATGGAGCTATCTATTTGTATCTATTGGTACCCCTCCCAAATTTCCTTTATAGGATCCTTCTTACTGCTGTGAATGTTGTCTGCTGAAAGAGATGTGTGTACAAAATGCTGCTCCCTTACCTCAAAGTGGAATCAATTCTATGGTACAATTCATGCTCTAGGGCTCTCCATAGGATCAGGCTGAAGCTCAACTCTAGATAAGACCAGACCACATCTTTTCTCAACCCCCTCCTGGGCTCTATCTTGCTTCCTTCACTGTGTTTCTTCCGAGAGCAATCTTCCAATGAATTATGCACTCAGATCCTGTTTCAGGGTTCTGCTTCTAGGGAATCTGACCAAAGACACTGCATGAGTAAAAGCCAAAAATTATAAAATCCATCTATGTCCATGACTTGGAGACAATGCAAGCAAAGAAACAGGAAGAGATGACATGAAATCAGAGAAAGGGCCAAGGTGAGTAAGATGCCTTACTTAAGTGAAAAAGAATAGGCATAGGCACCTTCAAACCATCCTGCACTAACCTAGTGGAGACAAACCCTTTTGGTCATGCAGTTGGCAAGAACAATGTTATTTTAGTGTCTGGACTTAGAGTAATTTGTATCAAAGCCTGGGTATTCTTTGCCACTGGCATTACAGTTTCTGGGACCTGGAAATGACCACCATGACAAAGACCAGTGGAAAAAAAGGGATTTCAGGCAGAACTGCTGCAGAATCTTGCTGATAAGGCACTGGGGTACAACAGAGGCACTTCTGAAGCTACGGTGACTACGGTGACCTCCTTCATGAGAAGCAACTGGACAATGATACTAGTGTATTACATATAGATGACTAGTTGTAGATTATACATTTATATACAATTATACTGTCGTTCTTAATTCTTAATCAAGTCCACATCACAAGACTTATTCTTGTCCTTGGAGGAACCAGGGTACAGAGTATTCTGGTAATTTATTATTGTGTAACGAACTGTCCCCAGTTGGCTCATTTATTTGCTTATGTATCTGCAGTTTGGGGCGGGTTCAGCAGGAACAACACCCCCCTGCTTCATGATTGGGGCCCCAACTGGGAAGACTTGAATGGCTGGGGGCTGGCTTCCTCACAGCATGGTGGTCTCAGGGTAGCTGGACATCTTTTATGGCAAGTGTTCCAAGACACTTCAGGAGGAAGCTGCAAGACTTCTTATGACCTAGCATAAAGTCCCATTTCTGGGACCTCAGAAATCCCAGTACATCACTTCCACCATAGTCTATCAGTCAAGCAAATCACTAAGGCCAGGCTAGATTCAGAGTGGGGTGGGGGTGGGGGTGGGGGTGGGGCCGGGGCCAAGGGTTAGACCTGATCTCTCCATAGAAGGAATGTAAGAGAATTTGCAGCCATCTTTAATCTATCACACAGACATAGAATGTGTAGGGGACTTTTTGATAAACGCAGTAAAGGAAAAAGAAGATAGCAGGTAAGATTTTGTTTCTTTGTTTATTTGTTTTTAGAGACAGGGTCTTGATCTGTTGCCCAGGCTGGAGTGCAGTGGTCCAAACATAGCTTACTGCAGCCTCAAACTCCTGGGCTCTGTGATCCCCCTGCCCCAGCCTCCCAAGTAGCTGGGACTACACATGCACGCCACCACATCTGACTAATTTTTTAAAAAATTTTTTGTAGAGACAAGGTCTCACTATGTTGTCCAGGCTGGTCTCAAACTCCTGGCCTCAGGTGATCCTCCCACCTTGGCCTCCCAAAGCACTGGGATTACAGGCATGAGCCACTGCACCCAGCGTGTTTGTTTTTTAAGGACAAAATAATTTGAGCATGTTTGAAAGCTAAGGAAAAAGAACCAGAGAAGAGAGTAGATTAAGGAAGTAAGAAAGAATGTTTGCTGCAGCAAGATTCTAAGGCTTCAGAGTAGCAATATCTAGTCTAGGGATTGCTGTTCTTCAGATGCACACCTTTTCTGTTATCCCTGAATGTTGGTAAAATCATGTGAAACTTCACAGTGTGGGTTCAGTCTTGCTGTGGGGAGGGAAGGGAAGGAAAGGGCTGGTTCACTTCTGGCCTGGAAGATTAGGGGGAGCAATGTCTCCTACAGCTAGGGCATGGCCTATGCCAGCCTCCCCATCTGATGGGGTCCTGCCAGAGGGTAGGGCCATGTCTTCAATTTCAAAATCCTACATGGCAAAAACATAACCTGCAAACCAGAATGTCAGTGCTAGGGCCTAGGCCGAACAATAGTTTTCCTGTAGGAATGGGGAGTATGTGTGGATGTAGAGCTGGGGGTAAGGCTTTTGTGCAATTCAGCTTCACCAGGCTTGAAGAAGATGCAGTGAGGACAGTCAGGACCTGAGTATGAGAGTGGGACCTGGGTATGAGTGTGGAAATCCATCTTAGAACCTTAAAATTCCATACTCTGAGGTAAAGCTGAGAGGCTCCACAGGTCTATGAGGGTTTTTCTTTGTTTCCCAGGGACTGTAAGGTGCCCAGATTCTGAGGTAGGTGCCATAGGAATATTCCTCATAGCACAAGCATTATGTCGGACAATGTTCTGCTTATCTATTACTGAGTAACAAACCTCTCTAAAACTTAGAGGCTTAAAATAACATAAATCATAATTTATGAAAAATTATAAATAATTCATCACTTAAGGGTTAAATGATAAATGAGTTATTTCTTAGGATTTTGGATAAGTCACAGTTAGGAAAGACCTGTTACTGTTGTAGGTAACATGGAACAGCCCAGACGGTTGGAATAACCCAACCCAGATAGCTTCTTCACTCAATGACTGATCCCTTAGCTAGGATGGCTCCACCAGCTGAGCGGCCCAGCTCTCCCTCTCCAAGTCCAAGTGGTCTCTGCACATGGTTTCTCTCCAGCAAGGTGGCTAACGGGGTGCAGCTCATGACCACCAACAGCTCAAAATCAAGGCTGCCAGGTCTTTTTTTTTTTTTGAGACAGAGTCTCGCTCTGTCCCCCAGGCTGGAGTGCAGTGGCGCGATCACGACTCTCTGCAACCTCTGCCTCCTGGATTCAAGCGACTCTCCTGAGTAGCTGGGATTACAGGTGTGTGCCACCACGCCCGGCTAATTTTTGTATTTTTTGTAGAGACAGGGTTTCACCACGTCGATCAGGGTGGTCTCGAACTTCTGACCTCGTGATCTGCCCGCCTCGGCCTCCCAAGGTGCTGGGATTACAGACGTGAGCCACCGTGCCCGGCCAAGGCTGCCAGGTCTTTTTTAAGCTCAGAGCTAGAAACAAGACATTGCTACTCCTACCAACTTCTTCTATTGGTGAAATTGAGTCATGGTTTCTCATGGTCTCAATCATGACCCAGCCCAGATTCCAGGGTCAAGGACCATAAAAGGCTACATTGATGGAAGACATGTCTCATTGAGGGACACCAGAGTAACAACTACCAGACAAGAAGGGGCAGGTCTGTGTGAGCGCCATTTCCTAATTCTATATTGCCCACTCTTCAGAGAAGATGGTTGGAGGGCAAATTGTGGGGAGCAAGGTAACTCCAAACTTTTACAGAATTAAAGGTAGGGGGTCTGGTCAGCTACAGTCCATCTGTTATCAAGAGGCCTGGCTGTGTGTCTTCATTCAGTTTATTAGGCATTTACTGAGCACAGCCTACATGCCAGGTTCTTCATTTTTTGACACAGGGTCTTGTGTTGCCCAGGCTGGAGTGCAGTGCTGCGACTGCGGCTCACTGCAGCCTTGACCTCTCCAGACTCAAGCGATCCTCCTGCCTCAGCCTCTGGAGTAGCTGGGGATACAGGCGCGCACCACCATGCTCGGCTAATTTTTGTATTTTTAGTAGAGACAGTGTCTCACCCTGTTGGCCAGGCTGGTCTCGGATCCCAGAGATCAAGTGATCCGCCTGCCTCAGTTTCCCAAAGTGCTGGGATTACAGGCGTAAGCCTCCGCGCCCGGCCTATGCCAGGTTCTACATGTGTTCTTTCTTGACTCTTGTGTTACAGAGGCTCGAATGAAGCCTGGCTTCTACAGTACCGCACCCAGCACCTCGCTGCGATGCAGCCTCCTGTACCCTTTCCGTCCGGCAGCTGGAGTTAGGGCAGAGTGCCGGGTCTCTAGGAGGGCAACACTCAACGCAGTCGGCTCCTAGGCATCCAGTGGGGCTGCAACCCCGCCGCCGGGGACGAAAGGCGAAGGGGGAAAACTAGAGCTTTCGCCGGCCGGGACAGCGCAGCCGGGTTTCAGCTCGTTCTACGGTCCACGTCAGAAGATCGCCTCCGGCGCCGCGGACGCCGGAGACCACTGTCTGCGCCCCCGCACGCACGCACCCACGTACTCGCGCACGCGCGCGCCGGCCCCGCCCACCGCCCCGCTGTGGCCCCTTTGGACCGCACGAGCCACCGTCCGCACAGCCCCGCCCCGCACGGCCAGGCGAAGCGGAGCCGGCCGTGCGGTGTGTGTGTATGTGTTCGCGGGGCGCCGTCTCAGCCCCGGGAAGATGGTGGCTGCAGCGGCGGCAACTGAGGCAAGGCTGAGGAGGAGGACGGCGGCGACGGCAGCGCTCGCGGGCAGGAGCGGCGGGCCGCACTGGGACTGGGACGTGACCAGGGCTGGGAGGCCGGGGCTGGGGGCCGGGCTGCGCCTCCCGCGGCTGCTGTCTCCACCGCTGCGGCCACGGCTGCTGCTGCTGCTGTTGTTGCTCTCGCCGCCGCTGCTGCTGCTGCTGCTGCCCTGTGAGGCCGAGGCCGCGGCGGCGGCGGCGGCGGTGTCGGGCTCAGCCGCAGCCGAGGCCAAGGAATGTGACCGGCCCTGTGTCAACGGCGGTCGCTGCAACCCTGGCACCGGCCAGTGCGTCTGCCCCGCCGGCTGGGTGGGCGAGCAATGCCAGCACTGCGGGGGCCGCTTCAGGTGAGTGGCGGGTGGTGTCGGAGGGTCGGGTCCAACCAGAGGCTGGGGCTGAGGGGCGTTCGAGACGGCTCCAGGTCAGAGGGAGATGCTGGACAGAAAGTGGAGAGGGTAGGGCCGCCCTATGGGGTTTGAGGGCCATTTGCTTCCGGGGAGATCATCGTCTCTGGCCTGGGGTCTTTCTCTGTTGGAAGGTGAAAAGGTGTGGGGCAAGGGTGGGGGCACCCCGACGGTATTTGGGTGCTTAGGTTAGTTAGATGGGAAGAATGCTGAGGGACCCAAAGAGCATCAAAGCCGATCGCTCTAAAACTCGGCGTGTTTCAGCTAAACGAGGTATCCAAGGAAAGGTGGTCGAGCCAGGTTTGCTTGAACACTTCCTTTTAACATCCACATGTGCCCTAGGACCCGATGAGTTCCCCGATGCACTGGAGATGTGGGGTGCTCTGAAGAAACAGGGCCCTGGAAATGCTTTGTTGGCTGGAGATAAAAGGGAAAGGGTAGCATTGTAAGATATTAGGGATAGAAGGACCAGTGGTCCTTCTAAAGGAAAGTGAGGAAACTAGCCTTTTGGCAAAAGCTCCCTGGAGGTGGCAAATTGGAATAGGGTCTGTGGTGAAGAGGGAATGGAAGGAGATTCCTATTTGCCTTGGTTTCTGGACAATATGAAGTTCTGAATTGGCTTAGTTTGGGGCAGTTCCTCTTGGAGAAATCAATAAATTAATTAGCAGTTATCGTTATTTGCTTCAGTTGTGCAATGATTTTCCAGATAATACAGACAGATTAGCCAGACTTTGGCCTTGTCCACAGGGAGTTTGGAATATAGCAAGAGAAAGATAATGTGCGCACATAACCCTAGTCATAAGGGTTACAGAGTCATTCACGCCTTTGACAGGTATTTAGCTTACTGAACACATGTCTGATGTGGGGGAGTGGGGAAATGTGAACAAGACAGACAGGGCCTCTGCTCTCATTGACCTTAACATTCTAGTGGGAGCAACAGGCACTTAACAAGTAAATAAATGAGAGAAATAAACATGGTAATTTCAGGTAATGGTAAATGCTATCAAGAAAATAAAAACAGCGTGGTCTGATAGAGAATTATAACCGGTGGTGACTCTTGGAGAGGGTTCTCATTTGAAATGACATTTGATCTGAGACCTGAATGAGGCAACAGGGAACTTGTGGGAATTCAGGGATGGAGAGGTTGTGGCTAGCTGGAGGGATGCAAGGAGGACTTTGAGGAGGCGGTAACATTGGATTTGAGCATGTAAGGTTAAGTAGGATTTGGAAATGTGGAGCTGGAAAAAAATTACAGATGGAAAGAAGGGTGCAAACAAAGTTGTGGAGGCTGGAAAGTAAAGTTTTGCTGCTGCCTATGTGGAAGAGAGTTGTGAGAGAGGAGTTTGGAATAGCAAAATTGTAGACTTAGGTAATATTAGGTCTTCTGAGGAACTCAGAGAACGTTGAGCAGATGAGCTCTTTAGTTTTATGGATGGAGAAACCAAGTTACTTCAGGACCACTGATGCAGTGAAGCTGCTTTTGTAACTTAGGGTGTTCTGATTTATGAATTCCATTAACCTACATGTATTTGTTGAGGGCTCCTATGTTTTAGGTTGTGAGATACAGTGGTATACAAGACAGGCACAGTCCTGCTCTTACGGAGCTCACATTTCAGCTTGGGAGTAAAAAAATCCAACAAAAATTTTATTGTAATTTTGTTTAAGGCTGTGGAGGTAAAGAGCAGGAGACAAACAGAGGACTTGACTTAGTCTAGGGGTAAGGTAAGTCACTGAGGAAGCGATGTGAAGTCTGAGGGGTGAGATGGTACTACCTGCGTGAGGGGTGGGGTGCTGAGGGGCCAGCAGGTACAGAGGCTTGGGGTTGAAGCGGATGGAAGGCCAGGTGGCAGGAGCAGAGAGAGCAAAGGGGAGCTTGGCAAGACTGGAGAGAAAGGCGGGAAGCCAGGCCAAGTGGAGATCTGTGGGTTGGATTGAGAATTTTGACCTTTAGCCCAAGAGCTGTGAAATGGCGTAGTTCACGCCTATTTTCATGACATTATAGGCTTTTAGATTGGAGCCAGAATACAAATGGCCTTGAAGGTGAGGCCAGGGCATTTTCCATTTGAGAAGCTTCCAAGGTCAGGTGAATGGATGGTTGAGTCAGACGAGGATCCTTCAAGTTCTGAAAACCTGGGACACTGTGGTAGGCAGTGGGGACCAGCGGTGTGGGAAGGGGACTTCATAGCAAGATCAATCTGTAATGTTCAGAGTAGGTACACTCACTTTGGGCATGAGAGATAGGGGGCAGCTAGGTGGGATCTGTTGGCATGGGTCAGAGCAGTGGTAATGAGAGCTTGTAGAGGTGAAATGGACAAGTCTTCCGTGTAAACTGGTTTGCTCTTGGAAAGGTGGGGGATGGTGAGGGAAAGAAAACTAGATCCTGTCTTGGGTGGTTGAGAGGACAGTGATACCATTAACAGACACAGGGACACAGGAGCAGGTGTTAGACATTTAATTGCATGCATGCTGAGTTTGGGGTGCTCTCAGAGTACACACCTGGCAGATGTTAAGTTTGGAGTCATCGACCTATGAGGGAGATTGCCAGGGAGCTCTCTCTGAGAGTCCACATGGAAAGCCCAGAGGATTGGATAAGAGCTACTTGTTGCAGGGAACAGGCAGTCCTGACACTGGTTGTCTCAAATAGTGTCACAGGTGAGTGAAGGGACTCCCCTGCTTATTGTGGACATTCCCTTTGAGCTGATTCTAGGTGATGTCAGTGCTGTTTCCTGGGTAGACAATTATGACTTTGGTCCTGATGATACCATTATATTTTGTGGGCTTTGGGATTTTGCATTTTTAAAAATGAAAGTAGGAGGAACTTATGACTCTGGTCTTTTAAAAAAAACTCAGTAGGCCAGGCGTGGTGGCTAACACCTGTAATCCCAGCACTTTGGGAGGCCGAGGCGGTGTATCACGAGGTCAGGAGATCGAGACCATCCTGGCTAACTTGGTGAAACCCCGTCTCCACTAAAAATACAAAAAATTAGCCGGGCGTGGTGGCGGGCACCTGTAGTCCCAGCTACTCGGGAGGCTGAGGCAGGAGAATGGCGTGAACCCGGGAGGCAGAGCTTGCAGTGAGCCGAGATCGCACCACTGCACTCCAGCCTGGGTGACAGAGCGAGAGTCCATCTCAAAACAACAACAACAACAACAAAAACTCAATAAAATTTTAGTCGAGGCCAAGCGCGGTGACTCACGCCTGTAATCCCAGCACTTTGGGAGGCTGAGGCGGGCAGATCAAGAGGTTAGGAGTTGAGACCAGCCTGGCCAACATAGTGAATCCCCGTCTCTACTAAAAATACAAAAAATTACCTGGGCATGGTGGCAGGCGCCTGTGATCCCAGCTACTCGGGAGGCTGAGGCAGGAGAATTGCTTGAACCCGGGAAGCGGAGGTTGCAGAGAGCCGAGATTGCGCCATTGCACTCCAGACCAGGCGAGGGTGTGAGACTCCATCTCAAAAAAAAAAAAAAAAAAAAAAATTTAGTCCAAGTATTCTTTTGGGGGCAAGAGTGAAATGTTGGTTTTGATTGCAGTGGCTTGTATCTTGATTGAACTTACAAACCTCTTTGTTATTAAAAGACATTAAATGAATACCTTTCTGATTTAGAATGGCATCAAGTTGGAGTGTTTTTTGAGCTTTTTAGTCCTGTAAATCCTGTGTTATAATTGCCGTTATAGGGTTTTTTCATTAATTGAAGGGAACGTAGGCTAACGAGGAGTGGATTTCCCTAAGGTTATCACTGAGTGCAGACTATGTGCCACAGAGCATTTTCATGTACATTGTATTATTTAATCCTCAGGACAACTCTGAGGGTGTTATATAAAATTTAGATTATTGAATTATTGTAGTTAGTAACATTTTTTCTAAATAAAAGATGACATAGAAATGACTGATTTTAAAGGATAAGTTAAAGGATGTCAGTTTAATAAAAATACCTATAGAATCTTTGGTGTGTGATTTCTAAGGCAGTACCACTTTCGTTCATTCTTATGTGAATCTTCATAATTCAGTGATCATTTTTTTCTACTTGTAAGGTCACCAGTGTAATTTTTCTTCGAAGGATAAATATGCCCATAGGATAAATTAAGCTCATTTTTGAATTTAATATTCATTCAATTCTTTTAAGTTCCTGCTGTAGAAAATGTTTGGGAGAATTGAATAGAATAATCTGGTGAATTGGATTGAGCCTGATAATGTTAAGATGTACCTTCTGTAGAAAAAAAAAGAAAGGAACTAAGCACTTATCAGACATCTGTTTTGTGCCCAGCACATACAGTAATAATAGTGGGTGGGTGTAGTAGCTCACACCTGTAATCCCAACACTTTGGGAGGCAGAGGCAGAAGAATCACTTGAGCCCAGGAGTTTGAGACCAACCTGGGCAACAAAGTGAGAGCTCCTCACTACCAAAAAAAAGAAAGTTAGCTGGGTGTGTTGGCATGTGCCTGTGGTCCCAGCTACATGGGAGGCTGATGCAGGAGGATGGCTTGAGCCCAGGAGGTTGAGGCTGCAGTGAGCCATAATCATGCCACTGCATTCCATCCTGGGCAACAAAGCGAGACCCTTGTCACAAAAAAACAAAGCAAAACAAAAAATATGTATATAGTGCCAACTGCCTATTAGAAATAACTCCCTTTTAGTCCTTAGAGTGAAGTTATTCCCATTTCACAGATGAGTAAACTTGGATGTACTGAATAACTTGTCCAAGGTCACAGAAGTTGTGCAAAATTGAGATTTGAACTCAGGGTTGTCTAATGCCCAAACCTGTGTTCTTTTTATTATACCATTTGGCGTCTCATTTTTTTCTGAGTCCAGTCACTCTTTATGGACGTTCTTTGAAGGACTGACCTAATTCCAACAAACATTTTGAGAAATAAAGGAAGGAAAATAGATTTTTACAATAGGAAAGCTAACATTTTAAAAATCTTAAATTCACTTCAGTCTCTCTGGCTGACGATCTGAGGACATAAATACCTTTTTAACTAATGAAATGAAAATTCTTGCCTGGGCGCAGTGGCTCACGCCTGTAATCCCAGCACTTTGGGAGGCTGAGGCGGGCGGATCGCCTGAGGTCAGGAGTTCGAGACTAGCCTGACCAACATGGTGAAACCCCGTCTCCACTAAAAATTCAAAAAATTAGCCAGGCATGGTGGCGAGCGCCTGTAATCCCAGCTACTCAGGAGGCTGAGGCAGGAGAATCGCTCAAATCCAGGAGGCAGAGGTTGCAGTGAGCCGAGATTGTGCCATTGCACTCCAGCCTGGACAACAAAAGCAAAACTCTGTCTCGAAAGAAAGAAAGAAAATTCTTGAAAACAAAATGTGAAGAAGTGAAAAGTTAAAACTTTTTTCTTATAGTAATTACTAAGTGATGTCAACCTCAAGCCCTAAATTTATGTTCACAAGTCCAGTTTAGGCTGATCTGCTTTCCCCAGTGCAATGTAAGTTCCATGAGGGCAGGGGCCTGGAGCATAGTTCACAAGTCCAGTTTAGGCTGATCTGCTTTCCCCAGTGCAATGTAAGTTCCATGAGGGCAGGGGCCTGGAGCATAGTTCACAAGTCCAGTTTAGGCTGATCTGCTTTCCCCAGTGCAATGTAAGTTCCATGAGGGCAGGGGCCCAGAGCATAGTTCACAAGTCCAGTTTAGGCTGATCTGTTTTCCCCAGTGCAATGTAAGTTCCATGAGGGCAGGGGCCTGGAGCATAGTTCACAAGTCCAGTTTAGGCTGATCTGTTTTCCCCAGTGCAATGTAAGTTCCATGAGGGCAGGGGCCTGGAGCATAGTTCACAAGTCCAGTTTAGGCTGATCTGCTTTCCCCAGTGCAATGTAAGTTCCATGAGGGCAGGGGCCTGGAGCATAGTTCACAAGTCCAGTTTAGGCTGATCTGTTTTCCCCAGTGCAATGTAAGTTCCATGAGGGCAGGGGCCTGGAGCATAGTTCACAAGTCCAGTTTAGGCTGATCTGCTTTCCCCAGTGCAATGTAAGTTCCATGAGGGCAGGGGCCTGGAGCATAGTTCACAAGTCCAGTTTAGGCTGATCTGCTTTCCCCAGTACAATGTAAGTTCCATGAGGGCAGGGGCCTGGAGCATAGTTCACAAGTCCAGTTTAGGCTGATCTGCTTTCCCCAGTGCAATGTAAGTTCCATGAGGGCAGGGGCCTGGAGCATAGTGAGCAGTAAATATCTGTTGAATGAAGGAATAAAATTCTGTAATTTACTTCTTATGACTTTTAAAAAAGTCGTCTTTACCCACATGACTGCCATATATGTCTTCTGTCCTTATATTGCTCCTGAACTTCTCTGTCATCCACTGTTTGGTGGGCATCTTTTATTGTCACCTCATACTGAATCATGTATAACACCAAACTTCTATCCTCATTGAAAAAAATAGTCTTTTTCTTTGTACTTCCTTATTTGTTTTAGCTAAATCCAAATTTAGCTAACCAAAGGTCAAAACTTAGCAGTAATCTTTGGCTCTTTCTACCTGTTTGTTTTTTTCTGCTCTCACACTGTATAAATTTGTTTCTTTCCATTTCTTCTGCTGCCATTCTAATGTACCTAACCCTTCACCTCATTGCTGACCTGCTTCTGTTGCACTTTTACTGTTTTCTTACACCTGCAGAGTCTGCTTCACACTTTGTCATATCAGTCTTCTAAAAAACATGTGTCTCTATGCACACGTATGTTTATTGCAGCACTATTCACAATAGCAAAGACTTGGAACCAACCACTGATGGGCTATCCAGCCCATCAGTGATAGACTGGATAAAGAAAATGTGGCACATATACACCGTGGAATACTGTGCAGCCATAAAAAATGGTGAGTTCATGTTCTTTGCAGGGACATGGATGAAGCTGGAAACCATCATTCTTAGCAAACTAACACAGGAACAGAAAACCAAACACCGCATGTTCTCACTCGTAAGTGGGAGCAGGGAGGGGAACATCACACACTGGGGCTTTCGGTGGGTAGGGGGATAGGGGAGGGATAGCATTAGGAGAAATAGCTAATGTAGAGTATGGGTTGATGGGTGCAGTAAACCACTGTGGCACGTGTATGTCTGTGTAACAAATCTGCACGTTCTGCACATATATCCCAGAACTTAAAGTGTAATAAAAAACAAAAACATGTGTCTCTTATTTTGCTTCTTTTATTACCTCTAAAATGATCCTCAGCAGAAGGATCCCATTCCTTTCACATCCCTTTTTTTCCTAACCAAATCTTTCTACTTCGTAGTTTTTCTGTGTTTGCTAAATTCAGCACCTCCCTCCTCACTGCTCCCCCATTCTTTCTTTTCATCTCTACTTACCAAGGCCCACCTTCAGTTCTCTATAATCTATAATTCATACCCTTTTTTTTTTTTTTTTTTTTGAGAGACAAGGTCTTATTCTGTCATCTAGGCTGGAGGGCAGTGCTCCTGGGCTCAAGTGATCCTGCCACCTCAGCCTCCCAAGTGGCTGGGATCACAGGCCAGTGTGCCCAGCCAATTTTTAAATTTTTTGTAGAGATGAGGTCTCACTATGTTGCCCAGGCCAATCTGGAACTCCTGTCCCCAAGAGATCATCTCGTCTTGACCTCCCAAAGTGCTGGGATTACAGGCATGAGCCACTGCACCTGACCCCTATTATCTTCTTTTGAAATGAGTCATCTGCTAATTCACTTCATAAATATCTGCTGAATATTGTGTGTTAGGTACTGTGCCCTTCCTTGAGGATATGAAGGTGTGTAAGAATCAGGCCTTGCTTTCCCCTAAGAGAAGTTATAACTATGAAGGGAAGACAGCTACGTACACAGCAATTAGAATTTCATAATAAAAATACAGGCAATATGTGGTGCTGGACTAAGATGTGATTGACTTAACTCTTTTGGGGGTTCTGGTGGAAGACATCACAGAAGAGAGGACATTTGGGCAGGTCTGAGAGGTTTAGTGTGAGTAGACCATCTGGGGGAGAAAGACATTCCAGAAGGAATGAAGAGTTGATGTGCAAAGGCAAAGAATTATGGATTATCATACTTAGTGTATTAATTTCCAAGGGCTGTTACAGTGAAGTGCCACAAACTCATGGCATAAAACAACAGAAATTTATTCTTTCATAGTTCTGGGGACTAGAAGCCTGCAATCAAGGTACTGGCAGGGCCACGATCTCTCTGAAGACTCTCAGGGAGGATCTGTTCCATGCCTTTCTCTTCGCTTCTGGAGTTGCCAGCAGTCCTTGGCATTTTGGCTTGTAGATGCATCACTTCAGCCTCTGCCTCCGTCCCTTCAATCTCATGTGATACTCTCCCTCCCTTTGTGTCTCTGTCTTTTCTCTTAAGGGTACCAGTCATAGTGGATGAACGAGTATGACATCATCGTAACTTTGTTGCATCTGCCAAGACCCTGTTTCCAAATAAGGTCACATTCACAGGGACCCAGGGTTAGGACTTTGACATATCTTTTTGGGGAACACAGTACAACCCACAGCACCTGGAGAACTGAATGTAGGTGCCTGTTGTTGGAACATAACTTGTGAGGGGTGTAATGGAAGGAAGGGGGTGAGGTTGTAAGGTTATAATGGCCTCTTTTTGTCCCTTCCCAACAATCTCCAGCTTCTGGGTTTATGCTTGACCTAGGATAAGCCCTCAGGGCATTCCAGTTTCTGGCCGTGCTGATTGTTTTGAAATGGGTTTATGATTGATTTTAATGGACTCAATCAGAGTGAATCTCAGGACTTTTGTCGGAGATCCCTTTCCTCTGTGGGCGTTTAGAAGGACATGTGTTGCCTTCTTTTCTGTGTGGCGAGGCCATAATGCCTAGAACTGTTAAGAGTTAGCGTTGCTGCTGTAAGGAATTCACCTCAGGTCAGAACAACTCCCAGAAGATGGAGGATGGCAGAGAAATGGAGCCGGAGACCTGATAACTTTCTGAATCTCTGGATCAAAACTTGCCTGAAGGTGTAGTTTTTGGTTTGTGAAGTACTGCAGTCCATGTTTTTCTTAAGCCGGTTAGAGTTGGATTTCCTTCCACTTACAGTAGAACAATTCCTAACATACAGAGGGAGGGAGGTAGAGCCAGCTGACTAGGGTTAGTCAGTTAGGGCTTCTGTAACAAATTACCATAGACTTTACCTCGATGAAAGGTTCCCAAGATGGGCAGATGCTTTTTATTTACCGCAGTATAGAGGACAGGTATGTACGCAGGAGAAAAAGGAGAGTGTGTGTTTATGATCAGAACAGTTTTGATCATATAAATGTGATTAAGTGATTTAATACATTTGTAGGTTATTTTTATCTTAAGAAATACAGAAGTGAGTACCTAGTGTTATGATTGAACAGAAATCTTACACTGGTTTTTCTTGTTAATACAATCATATTTCCAAAACTGAAATGAAACTATAGTTGTACTTTTTGAAATACTTGTGTCTGGAAATTGGCCATTAACTTACTATGATACTTGTTTCCCACTTAAATAGTACTCTCCTATTTTCTGTGAATTCCCAAATGCATTTTGGCAAGTGACTTCCATCTATATACTATATACTGTTCTCATCTTTCATTTTTACTTTGTTCCTTCCATTTTCCCTTTTCTTTCTATACTTCAAACTGCTCTGTTATTATTAACGTGACTTCCTTCTTATGAGGGCTTTCTTATATTTGTCTTGCTTTTTTCCCACTTTTCATTTTCTTTATGTCATATCTCTTTAACTGCTTTTCTTTTATCACTGAGACCATGGTTCGATATCCTTTCAATTAAAACATTGAAAAAGTTTTTTTTCTTTTTCTGCTAGTGGATTGATCTTCGAGTGTTTGAGACAGGGGCTTACCCTGTCACCCGTGCTGAAGTGCGGTGGTGCAATCACTGCTCACTGCAGCCTTGACCACCTTGAGCCTCTGGGCTCAAGTGCCTCCCACCTCAGCGTCCTGAGTAGCTAGAACTGCAGGTGCGCACCACCATGCCTGGCTAATTTTTTAATTTTGTGGAGATGAGGTCTCACTATGTCGCCCAGGCTGATCTCGAACTCCTGGGTTCAAGCAATCCTCTCATCTGCGCCTGCCAAAGTGCTGGGATTACAGATGAGAGCCACCATGCTTGGACCCTTTAAATTTTTAATTAAGTTTTCAGTTTTTTTCAGTTTGCGTTTTGGGTGGACTTCAGTTCTAGCTGTTTATTTACATGCTTACCTATTGAGAATTTTCTGTTTTTCACTTAGAGAAGTTAATTTTAGTAATGGGTGAATTTCCTTTTTTTTTTTTTTTTTTTTTTAGAATTTGACATTAAAAGTATACAATTATTAAATGAATGAATTTTCCAATTAATTTCTCTTGGTCCTTTTTGTATTTTAAGAATTTTTTGATTGGTTTACTAATAAGCCAGTAAACATTAGGGGCTGGAATTCTGTCAGTTGCTGTTAAGAGTCACATAAGTAACCTCCCTTGACCTGTGTTTTCTAAATTTTTAAATTCACAGATCCTTTCACAAAAATGTATAATCTTATGGACTCCCGTAGGAATTAAAAAATAATAATCTTTTAAAAAATGTATCCTGTTTTTAAGATAATTTTAAATAAAGTAAAAGTAGTTTGTTAATAAAGATTATAATGTCTATTTTAAATATAATTTATAATGATATTCAAAGGAAAATTTGACCTTACTCTATTTAAAACGTGGTGCATATATTGTTTCATGTACTTTAATTATGTAAGGAAAAGCATGAGTTGTAGACAAAAAAAAAAGACATTACATTTTGGGATAAAATGTATATTAACATAGAGATTGAATTTAACTGTGTTTTGTGCTATTAAAAATAGTTTTCCTGTCCTAATGTTTGATATTCATAAATATGTGCTTTCACAATTATTTTTTAGAATTTTTTTGCGTGTTTTGATTCTGAATGATAAAATGATAGCGATTTTCAGCTATTTGTAAGCATTTCTCTGCAAATAACACATTTCCTGTTTGGATAGTTTTTCTCTAAATTGAATGAAAAGGCCAACCTGGCTATAATTGTCACTCAGTTTTCCCTTTTGAACACTGTTTTTGAAGTACTGGAGATATCAAGGATTTTGATCAGAAGGTTTGGCAAAGATGATCTTGAGACAGATCTGCAGAATTAGATTCATTTTATGCCTTCTCAGAACTTATATATAAATATCATTGTGTCTTATGCTTCTCTTTTGATAGATGACATGACTGTCTTTTAATGGGAGCAGTATTTGGACAACTCTTTGAGAAACACTGACCAATACTGACAAAATGTATAACTCATTTTTTTAAAGTGATGATATGTTTAGTGCTGGTTCAGTCTCTGAACTAACTATAACTTCCTATTAATATGAAATATTTGAAGCCTATGGAAGAGATGCGAGGAATATCTCTTTGTACTTGCAACCTGGTTTTTCTGAATTTTCTTCATATTAATGTTATTCTAAAAAGTAAAATGTTACAGATACTGACCAAGGTCCCCATGTTACCACCCCTTCTTAATCCTCTTCACCGTACCCTTTCCCCAGAGGTAACTAGTATGGTGAAGTTGATGTTTATTATTTCTCTTGCATGTTTCTACTCTTATTACAGAGAGTACAGAGAGATATTTCTGCAAACAATATCTTATTCCCAAAAACATGTAGCATTTTTTAATCTTGAGATGAGATATGCTGGAGATTTATCTGTTGATAAATGTAGTTCTAGTGGATTCATAGTTAATATTAATTACAGAAGGATTCCAGTTTACTTACCCATTTTCCTGCTGATGGGCATTTAGAGTTTTCCAACTTTTGCTGTTACAAATAGTACTACAATTACATTCTTTTTTTTTGTGACAGGGTCTCACTCTATGAACCAGGCTAGAGTGCAGTGATGTAATCACCGCTCACTGCAGCCCTGACCTTCAGGGCTTAGGTGATCCTCCCACCTCAGCCTCTGGAATAGCTGAGACTACAGGCATGTGCCACCACACCCAGCTAATTTTTTGTGTTTTTAGTAGAGACCAGGCTTCACTATGTTGCCCGGGCTGATCTTGAACTCCTGGCCTAAGCAATTTGCCTGCCTGGGGCTCTCAGAGTGCTGGGATTGCAGGTGTGAGCCACCATGCCCGGCCCAATTAGCATTCTTTACCTATCTCTTTTTGCATACATGTGTGATTTTTCTCTAGGGTAGTGATCTTCAGTCTTTTGAAACACCTCCAAAATAACTGAAATTCTTTTTACTTCCTTGCTTTCAGGTTGACATGCAGTTGACACATATTATTTTTCAAAAAAAAACAGATTTATAGAGTTGAAGAGATACAATTTCTGTATATTATAAATAGAGCTGCTGAAAAAATTCCCCATTATACAGTATTACTTTAAAAATATTTATTGAGTAGAATCCAAATTCCATAGCAGTTTAATAACCTTTCTCATTTTAAAAAATACATGAGGCCGGGCATGATGACTCACACCATAATCCCAGCACTTTGGGAGGCTGAGGTGAGAGGATTGCTTAAGCCCAGGAGTTTGAGACCAGTCTGGGCAACATAGGGAGACCCCATCTCTATAAAAAAATTTAAAAATTTGCAGGGCATGATAGCACATAACTGTAGTCTTAGCTACTTGGGAAGTTGAGGTGGGAGGGTCACTTGAGCCCAGCAGTTTGAGGCTGCAGTGAGCTAAGATCACACTACTGCATTCTATCCTGGATGACAGAGAGGGACCTTGTCTTTAAAAAAAAAAAAACAACAAAGAAACCAAAACCCACATGTAGTAAATGTTATTATTCTTTTCCTTTATGGCTTGTCCTTTTTGTGTTATATTATAAAATTCCTTTCCTGTACTGACCTTGTAAATATACTCTTCTATATTTTACTTCCTCAAAATTTAAAATTTTTGCTTTATTCCATTCTGATCTTTTATCCACCTGTAACTTGTTTCTGTGAATGATTTGTTATATTGACCTAATTTAATTATCTTTATATGGTAAGCGGTTGTTGCAGTTCCATTTATAGAACAGTTTTGCCCCTGCTCCCCGTTTGTATTGAATTGTGCTATAATCATTTAAAACTTCAGACTTGTCTTGATTGTTCTTAACTCTTGGCTCCCCTAATTTCAACAAAAATCCCTGTTGATATTTTGTTGGAATTTCACCTGATGTTGAGATAAGCCTGGGGAAATCTGTCATCTTTATTATAGAGGGTCTTTCCATCCTTCGCATCCTTCTGGAAAGATGCTTTATATTTCCAGTTTAGGTCTCATATCTTTCAGTAAATTCTTATAGCTTTTTTCAAATGATCTGACACACTTTTATTAGATTTACTACTCGATAGAGAATTTTGTTATTACTAGAAACTAATTGATTACTATAGTACCTAGGAATGGATTTTAAAATTATTATTATTATTATTATTATTATTATTATTATTATTGCACTGAGTAATATTTAGCTCATGAGTATCTGTATTTATCTGGGCACCTCTCTGAAGTCTGGTAAACTTATTCACCTGTCTGGATCTAGGCAGGAGGTTGACTGGGCTCAGCTGGTGGGGATGGGGGTGTCACAGCTGTCACATCTCTTTGTACCAGAGGCTGGCTGAGCCTCACCATCATGGTGATGGCAGAAGTGCAAAGGCAGAATTTATTTCCTCGTATTTTGAATTTTTATATCTATGAATCCTTCCTAAGCTCTTGTAGTACTGGTAGCTTGTGTGTGGATTCTCCTGTTCCCCATGTTGATAGTCATGCTGCCAATAAGTTGTGACAGTTTACTTCTAAACTGTATACACCTTCTTTCTTTTTCTTGTGTAATTAATGAGCTAGTTCATGTTGTTGAATATTATCAATGTAGGACATTGTTGAATGGTCTTGATCCTGACTTTAAAAAGAATCCTATGGAATAGTTCCCTGCACATAGAAGGTGGCCTGTGATTATATTGATTTTTGTCTTTTCATCTGTTAATGTGGTAAATTACACTTACATACTTTTTAATTGTTAGACCATCTTTGTATTCCTGAGTTGAACCCATTTTGGCCATGATATGTTTTTTAATACAGATTTTTAGATTTGGTTTGCCAATACATTTTTTTGAGGTTTTTTTTTTTTTTTTTTTTTTTTTTTTTGAGTTGGAGTCTTGCCCTGTCGTCCAGGCTGGAGTGCAATGGTGCGATCTTGGCTCACTGCAACCTCTGCCTCCTGGGTTCAAGCAATTCTCCTGCCTCAGCCTCCCAAGTAGCTGGGATTACAGGTGCCTGCCACCATGCCTGGCTTATTTTTGTATTTTTAGTAGAGACGGGGTTTCACCATGTCGGTCAGGCTGGTCTCAAACTCCTGACCTCATAATCCTCCTGCCTCAGCCTCCCAAAGTGCTGGGATTACAGGCATAAGCCACCCCGCCCAGCCTGAATTTTTGAACTGTGCTTGTGAGCTTTTCTTTTGGCAAGCATGTCAGATTTTGTCTGTTGTTTTATTTTGTCTTCACCCTTGAATGCTCATATAGCTGGGTCTGGAATTTAAGATTGATCATTATTTTCTTTGAGCAATTTGAATGTTTTTTTCCAATGTCTTCTGATTTTTATTACTGATGTTTCAAAGTCAGCTGTCAGTCTAATTCATTCATAGGTAATTTTTTTTCTTTCTCTCTTTTTTAGCTTCTTACTCTGGAAAATTTCAAATAAACAAAAATGGAAGGTATAACAAGTGTGACGTGTCTGTCACCAGCTTCAACATTTGCAACTCATAGCCAGTCTTTTTCACTTTTACCACTGCCCCATTCCCATGCCTTCCCCTCCTCCCACCAGCCAGCATAGATTATTTTGAAGTAAATCTCAGGTGCCATTTTGTTTCCTTCTGGTTGTTTTTCTTTTCCTTTTTCTTTTTTTCCTTTTTATTTTTATTTTTATTTTTTTGAGACAGAGTCTTGCTCTTTCACTCATGCTGGATTGCAGTGGTGTGATCTTGACTCACTGCAACCTCTGTTTCCCGAGTTCAAGCGATTCTGGTGCTTCACCTTCCTGAGTAGTTGAAATTACAGTTGTGTGCCACTTTTTTATTTTTAGTAGATATGGGGTTTCACTGTTGTCTCGAATTCCTGGCCTCAAGTAATCTGTCCGCCTTGGCCTCCCAAAGTGCTGGGATTACAGGTGTGAGCCACCACACCAAACCATTCTGGTTTTTTATAAGTGCTCTTGCTTTTACTCATAGTCTATCTCTGTTATTTTTTTCTTTCCCTTTCTCTTTTGGTTGATTGTATTAACGTAGTATTACTATGATGTGCCCAAATGTGGATTTATTTTTATTTTGCTCAGTGTATGTGCATTCTTTATCTGAGGATTCAAGTCTGTTATCATTTCTGGGAAATTCTCAGGTATTATCTTTTGAAAGCTTCCTTTACATTTTATTTGTTATTATCTCTTAGTACGACTTTTAGACAGACACATGTTGCCTATTCTTTTTATTCTGTTTACTTTCTACTTCTCATAATTTTTATCTATTTCCCTCTGTTGCATTCAGGATAATTTCCTCAGATCTGTTCTCTAGTTCACAAATTCTCACTTTAACTGTATCTAATTTGTGGTGTAACTTGTTAAATTTTCATTTTCAGTGACTGTATTTTTAATTTCTAGAGGTTTTATCTTTTATTAATAAAACTGGCTGCTTATTTTCATAGTGTTATTTTTTGATACTTTTGATCCTATTGTGCCTTTAAGCAATTTTAATTAATTAATTAATTTTTTGAGACCGAGTCTTCTTGTTGCCCAGGCTGGAGTGCAGTGGCATGATCTCGGCTCACTGCAACCTCCGCCTCCCAGGTTTAAGCAGTTCTCTACCTTAGCCTCGCGAGTAGCTGGGATTACAGATGCGTGCCACCACACCCAGCTAATTTTTGTATTTTTAGTAGAGACAGGGTTTCACCATCTTGGCCAGGCTGGTCTTGAACTCCTGATCTTGTGATCCACCCGCGTTGGCCTCCCAAAGTTAAATTTATTTTATGTTCTTTATTGGATTGTTCTAGTAACTGAACTTTATAGGGTCTAATGCTGTTGTTAGTTTGCTGATTTTTGTTCATGGTACATTGCTTCAATTTTGTCAAAAATTTGAGTTCCTCTTCAGTGAGACTTTATCAATGGACATATGTCTCTAGAGAGAGTTTGTGATTACTTCTTCTAGATATCTTTGGGGGTATTCTGACCTGGGGCTACTTTCTATGTTAATTTTATTTTCTTATGGGTACCTAGAACCCAAGTGAGGGTGGTATGTATTAGAACTCAAATGGGTGTGGGACTCGTTATGAAGTCATTGGGAGGGATTTTCCCCTGCCTTGGTCCATGCTGAAACTGCTTTCTTGTTGCTTTTCTGTGCCTAAGAGCTGGGTTTGGTTTTTAAAAGCTCTTTAAGGGTTCCACCCTTCTTGAAGGGCTCTCGGTTCCAATTCCCTGCCTTACATGGACCTAGGCCTCAGTGTCTTCCTTTTGAGCATTTAGATCCAGATTATTTTATAGAAGATGATATGCTCTTGGATCATGGGGATTGACAGCCTCTCACAGGACACTATGGAGTTGGCTAACATGTTCCCTGCTCTGATTTTCAGGTCTCTATTTTTGGCCTTTACTGATTTCTCTTACTTTTTTTCAGGTTCAGCTGGCAGTTAAAATGATGTTATATTGCAGATTGCATTTACTTCTTGATTTTAACGTAGTGAAATGTATTGATTTTTTTCCCTTTTTGTGTCTTGTTGAAATCTTTCCCTATTCCAAGATCGTGGAGATATTCTTCTGTATTGTCTTCTGGACATTTCATTGTTTTGTCTTTCACACTTAAATCTACAGTCCACCTAGAGAAAGAGTGTGTGTGTGTGGTGCGAGGTTAGAGACACATTTATTTGCTTTATGCATATTCAGATTCACATTTATTAGAGCCACATTTATTTGCTTTATGCATATCCAATCCCATTTTTTGAGAAGACCTTTCTTTTCCCAGTGCTCTGTAGTGCTGCGTCTGTTATCAATCAGGTGTTTATGTATATATGATCTGTTTCTGGACTTTCTGTTCTATTCCTTTGGTCCGTTTGTCTATCCTTATGCCAGTAATACTGCACTATCTTAATTAGTATGGATTTATGTTAAGTCACCTTACCTTATTCTTGTTCTTTTTCAGGTTTATTTTGGCTCTTCTTGGTCCATGGCATTTCCATATAGATTTTAGAATCACCTTGTTCATTTTTGACAAGAAGAATATCTTGAGAATATGATTAGGTTGGTAATGAACCTATAACTCAGTTTGGAGTGAATTGACAGCTTTTATAATGTTGAGTCTTCCGAACCACAAACATGGTATATACCTTTATTTATTTAAATCTTTTCTAATTTGTCTTAATGCTTTATAATTTTCTATGCAGAGGTCTTGTAGATCTCTTTCCAAGATATTTGATGTTTGTTTGTTTGTTTGTTTGTTTGTTTTTTGAGACGGAGTCTCACTCTGTTGCCCAGGCTGGAGTGCAGTGGCGTGATCTTGGCTCACTGCAACCTCCGCCTCCTGGGTTCAAGCAATTCTCCTGCCTCAGCCTCCCAAGTAGCTGGGATTACGGTTGTGCGCCACCATGCCAGACTAATTTTTGTATTTTTATTAGAGATGGGGTTTCACCATGTTGGCCAGGTTGGTCTTGAACTCCTGACCTCAAGTGATCTGCTTGCCTCGGCCTCCCAATGTGCTGGCATTACAGGTGTGAGCCACAGATATTTGATGTTTTTTATACTTTTGTAAATTGTATCTTTAAATTTTTTTTTGAACAAGGTCTGGTTTTATTTTCTGGCAGAATCTTTTAAAATATAAAACAGATAAAACACATCTCAGCCCTGCAATCTGCCAGCATGCCTTGTTTCTACAGGATGCATGCTAGACCATGAGACTACGTAGCAAAGGGTCTTTAAGAGAATTTGGTTGGGAGAAATAGAAAAAACAGATCTCAGGGAAGCCTGGGCTAGCCCAAAAGCTGAGCTACATCCCTGAGCACTAGAGCAGTCCTTGTCTTTTCAGATCCTCATATGTCTTCTTATTCACAACATTCCCACTTGAGTCTTCATATTCTTCCTCCAGTGTCAGGCTGCCATCATTCTGAAGCCTTCTGCAATTTGAATTTGGCCCACAAGGAGACAGCATCTTCAATCTGCGTCACATTAGCAAAGTGAGCAGTGTTTGGGATGCCCAAACACCTCATGCCATGAGCATGATGCTATTCAGCAAAGTGTCACTGGAAGGCTTTGCGCCCTTGGTAGGTGTAGTTTCCACAAATCTCACAGTTATAGTTGATATTTAGGCCATGAAGCTTATATAGCCAGTAGGGAATGCGTTTGCCATCCCAGCCAAGTGGCAGGTTTTTGGGGTTGTAAATGATCTCGTTCTTTTCATCTTCACTCTCACTCTTACTGATCTGCTCTTCTTGCTCTTCTCCTGTCCTTGCTTGCTTGCACTGTGCATTTTCATGAGTGAGATGTTGCTGTTCCCTGAGAGTCAGAGTATTCATAGATCTGGGCTTCTAGAAAAGCAATGTCTTTGTTCTCTCAATGTCTCGCTTGGTGCCCTTTGATTTGGGATTTTTGGCAAACAAAGAGTTATCAAGTGACTCCAGGGACTTTCCTTTGGTACTGAATAGTCTCTGGGCTTGCTCTTCTACGGTCCGCCACATTTCAAGCCTAAAGCTAAGAGAGCAGATTTCAATCTGTCCAAACCCAGAGAGGCCAACTCCTCCCAGGAGGAGAAGGCGGAGAGGTCAAGATGGGCTCCAGCATGGGTCAGAGCGCTGCTTGTCTCTTTCGCCCATCCAGGAAGGTCACATTCTCCCATTTCTTCTCAAACTCAGCCTGAATCTTCCCAAAAAGTTCATTCTGATCTTGGAGAGGCTTTACTCTATCTGTGTAATCCTGAAGTTACTCAAGCAGCATCTCTAGGTATCTCTTATACTCTGCATTCTTCCTTTCTTTAGGAATGTCAAATAATTGGTCAGAGATGGACAGGTATGTGATATAATCCAGCTTCTCAGATGCCTTCACGTTAATGTACTTGAGGTAACAGTCACGGAGATCGAGGTAACGACCATATCCCTCTTCATCTGTGAACTCCACCAAGTTTTGTGCCTCTTCACTTGGATTCTCTGAGCCTTCAGGAGCTCCTCAAATTTCACTGACATTGGCACACAGATCTCATTTGGGTGCTTCTGGTGGAATTCCTTTATTTACTCGAGTCTATTATAGAATTCAGCAAACTCACTGGGTCCTGAAATGGCATTGAGTTCCTCCTTTCATAATCCATCTTTATCATCATACAGATCCCTCAGGTTCCCACTGACCTCCATATACCTATCTTGCATGGCCTGAGTGCGGTGATCAGAATTGAGCGTGGACTTCTTAGTGAGCATCTCTTTGGCCATGACGTCCATGAGCCTTTCCTTCTCCTCATGATAGCGCCGCTGCTGCTCCAGTATTGTCTCCATCTTCCTTTAGCCGCAGCCTCTCTTAAAAATTTTATGATTAGTTGTTTGCTGCTGGTTAAAGGAAATGCAGTGGACTTTTTGCACCTTTCCTAAAGTATTTTATTGATTCTAATAATTATCTGCAGATTATTAGCTCTCTGGGGGAAAAAAATCAAAAAAAACCCTTCTTTGATCCCCCGTGTCTTCTCCAAATGTGGCCTCATTTCTGTGTTTCATTTTACAACAAAACTCCTGCAAATGAAATTGTTCTCTTGTTAACATCTCCTACTTCCTCACTTCCAATTTTCTCATTAACTTATGGCTGCTAGAGATCATAGGGGCAGCAGTGTCCACAGCTTGTCAAATCCAGTGGTTAATTCTCTGGCCTTGTCTTACTAAACTTCATAACGTTTCACTGCTTCCTTTTTGAAAACTTGCTTCTGGATTTCTGGGACTCCATGCTCTCTCTCTTTTTTGCCATGCTTGACTGACTGCTCATTTGCAGACTTTGTCTTCTTCTGGCTTCTAAAAGTTAGAGTTCTTCTGGGTACTTGCTGTGCATCTGCACTCAATCGTCTTCTGTATCTGTACCTGAAACTCAGATGTTCTTCTCAGTCTGGGGACTTTGAATACTGTAACATTGAACTTTTGATTTTTATTCCAAGCCTGTTTGACCCTCAGTTTTCTTAGCATTTGTATGAGACCACTCAGGCTAGAAACCTGGGTGTTTTCTTTATTCCCATTTACTCACTTGCAAACTATTATTAAATCTTGTCTGTTCAACCCCCAAAACTTATCTAAGTATCTGCTGGTATTCTTTTTTCTTCATTTGTGGGTAGAAGCAAGATTGTGTAGGTCTTTGTAGTCTTAAATAACCATAAAAAATTTCTGGAAAGTGTAAGGTTGTATGCAAATAAAAGGTATCAGATGGCTAAGAGGAGTGGAGTTAAATATCAGGATCCTTAAACTTCTTTTCTTTATCTTGCCCATTGCCTTTTCTTTTCTTTCATTGCTATATATTTACGTGGACTCTTTCAAAGAGATTATAGTTACAGAGACCTGATAGCCAACAGGTTGAATGTAAGCCTTATTTGTGCTTATTTTTGCCTAATATTCAGGGCCCTGTGAGAGATTCTGGTTGTTGAATATACAAGAAGGGTTGAGAGCATATTCTAGATAGGGGAGTGTGTGTGTGTGTGTGTGTGTGTGTGTGTGTGTGTATCCGTTCTCTGGGCAGGGAGGGGAATATGGTAGGAGCAAAAGCACAAGAGAGGTAGGAGTGGGCACTGAGTGTCTGGGGGACCATGAGAATTGGCTTCGCAGGTGAGAGGAGAAGGATTGACATTCTTAATAGTTAGAATGTCAGGAACAGGAGGAGTTCAGACTTCATTCCACAGTCTGTGCAGAGTTATTCTAAATATTGACAAGGGTAGTGACATGGTGACATTGGTGCTTTAGGAATGTTGTTCTGCTGTAGGGTGCTTAGTAGGCTTTGTGGTCTCAGAAGCTGCTGAAGGTAGCCAGAGGTGTTAGCAATAAGACTACCATGAATTGTTTTTGAGCTTGGGGTAGAGTGGGAATGGAGATGAAGGAATACACCTAAGGAAGTCTTTGATGGCAGTTATATCATAAATTGTTCATACATGTGATGAATGGGATATCAAGTACAGGAAGAAACTAACAAAACTCATACCAACGTTTTGCGCATGGGAGAAGCTATTTTATCATTTCGGGTGGACTGTAGTTGAATGGGAAGAGATAATTCTGCCATAAGATCAGGGTTGAATTTTGTTGGTTCTGGAACTCAGTTTTTGCTGCTGTACTGTCCAGAGAGAGAGAGAAATAGAAAGGGAGAGAGAGAGAGAGAGAGGCGCGCGCGCGCGTGCGCACGCACACACACACACACACACACATAACTAATATATATAAATACATATATATGTGGGTATATATTATTTATTTATGTATATATAATATAATATACTATATAGATAATATATAATTATCTATAATTATGTAAAATATAATTGTATATTATCTATAATTATATAAAATATATAATTATATATGTATTATAGATTATATATTATATATAATTTAATATATATAATATATATACATATGTAGGTACGTTTGTTTGTGTGTGTGTGTGTGTGTGTGTGTGTATAATTAAAAAAAATTTTTTTAGAGACAGGTTCTCACTCTGCCACCAGGCTGGAGTGCAGTGGCATGATCTATAGCTCACTGCAGCCTTGACTTCCTGAACTCAGATAATCCTTCCACCTCAGCCTCCTGAGTAGCTAGGACTGCAGGTGTGTGCCATACCACACCTGGCTAAATTTTTTTTTTTTTTTTGGTAGAGATGGGGTCTCACGATGATGCCTAGGCTAGTTTTGAACTACTAGCCTCAAGCGATCCATCTGCATCGGCCTCCCATAGTGTTTGGGATTACAGGTGTGAGTCACTGTGCCCAACCTATTTTTATTTTTTTGTAGAGATAGGGTCTCACAGTGTTGCCTAGGCTGGTCTCAAGCTCCTGGCCTCAAGCGATCCTCCCAGCTCAGCCTCCCAAAGTGCTGGGATTACAGGCATGAGCCAGTCTGGCTAGCCTGAGTTTTTATTTAGAAAAACATGAACAACCTGTATATGGCTGCTGTAAACCAATGGACTTTCTTTGTTCTTGAACCAAGCTAGGCATCCACACGGCACCTATTCATCTGAGGGGATAGAGTCAGTGTTCAGATGTCTTTGAAAGAAAGGTCCACCTGCAGTTCTTTAGCTTCTGAAATGTTTTTTTCTTTTCCCATACTGTCATGGATACACACGAGATTGTTCTGGACTTCCTTTATAGTAAACTTTGCTCTTAATAAGAGCTTGAAAATTTTTGTTGTTGCAAAACTGTGTTAGAGTTGATACTGTTATTTATTAGGCAACAAATGTTACATGAATATCTATGATGTTTTAGGCACTGGCGAAAAAGAGGTGAATGAGATATGTTCTTGAGAAAGTCTTGGTAGTGTAGTGGGCAGAGATTATTCTCTATAACAGTAATAATCAAACCACATGATAAGTTTACCACGGAGAAGGCATTAATTAGCTCAGCACTGAAAACTTGGGGCACAGGTTCCCAGAGCTCCAAGGGACATTTGAAGTGAGATCTGAAAGGTTGGTTAGGAAAAAATAAGTTATTCTAGACAGAGAAGTCAGGCTGTGCTGAGCCACGAAGACTTAATGCAGGTGAGTTGAGGAAGAAATACATAGTCAATATTGCCACAATATGGTCTGCTCAGTCTGGGGAGCAGTGGCTAGTGATGGAGCAGTAGGGGTAAGTTGGGGTTGGATTGTCACAGACCTTGCATGTTGTGCTAAGGCATGCAGAGGTTTCCAGGCAAGTTTTGACATGATCAGATTGCCCTTGGTAACATTATAAAGAAGATGACAGGTGGCTCTGCAAAGAACTGTCCAGACGGGGGAGCTGGACTGAGCCACAGTTAAGAGACTGTTGCAGTAGACTAGACTAGGAGGAGGAGAATTTGAATTAGAGCATTGGCCTTAGCAAGGGGATCAAAGAGGGAAAAAGATGAGATTGGTTTGTAGGCTGAATGAATGGAGGTGAAGGTAAAGAAAGAGTCAATAATTTTTGGAAGATAGGGTAGATGACAAAGTTGTTTAAAGAAAGCATAAAAGAAGGGGATTTAATGACTTAAATTTTTGATATAGGGAATATAAGTCTGAAACATGGGTCTAGCCTTGAGCTGGAAATACAGCTTGGGCAGTTAGCAACATAGAGATGGTAGATGAAGCCACGGATGCAGATGTAATTACCTGTAGGAGTATCATGGAGACCTTGATCTAGCCAGGACAATTTCAGGGACAGCCCAGGATTTGAGCAAAGGACTTGTCCATTGCTTTTATTGAGTCTTTCAAGGTTGATGATTTATTATTGTTTAAAAATATGAGGGAGCCATATTATGGTTGTTTTAATTATCCTTGTGGATGGGTATAGTAGAATGTCCTAAATATTAAAACATATAGAATTCATTTATAATGTTATATCATTTATAATGGTTGTAGCTTTATTATTATTTTTAATAATTAGGACAAATGCTTAATATTTTACATTTTAGATCATAGTATGAGTCAATATTCATGATGAATCTTTTTCTTTGTATTTCTTTCGAATTTAAGAAATTAGATCAAAATTTTCTGATAGAGACGAAACTTTGGAATGCAGAAATATTTTTAGTATTGGTGCCAAAAATTTAAGTCACTTACTTTAACACTTAGAAATTACAAGATCATATATGGAAAGTTTGTTATTGGTTTGGTGTATTAGAATCATTTGTGGAGCTTTTAAGGACACCAATGCAGTGCTGGATTCCACTCAAGAGGGGTTTGTGTTAGGGCCACATCATCTGTATTTTTTAAAGCTTTGTGGATATTTTGATGTTAATCTGAGAACCCTGTATCAGGGGTTTGGGTAGGGGCTTTGTTAGCATATTTTGTGTCTTGCTTATTTAGTTAACCTTTTTGTTTAAAGCTGTTAAAGCAAAGGCCAGAATACCAGCAGGTTAGCGATTTGGTCATCACAGTGAAACCATTTGAATTTTCATGTGAATTTAAACTATAAAACAAAATTCAATAGCAGTTCAGTCTGGGCTTGTATCATTAGAGGGCTGGTTAAATAAAATATGACTTGTTCACAGAGCAGAGTACTATGTAGCTATAAAAGGGAAGGAGGAATAGCTATGTACTACTGTGGGGGAGAATATATTGTTAAATGAAAAAAAAAACAAAACCCACTGTAGCAGAACAGTGGTATTGTACACTGTCATTTTTTAAAGAAAGGGGATCTATAAATCTATAAATATATATTTTTGTGCATATATATAAACACACCAATGGAATGATAAACCAAAAACTAATAAAAATGATTAAGGAGAGAGAGAGAATGGGGTGGATAAAACAGGGATGGAGGCTAGACTTCTGAATGTACTTTATTTTGTGGATTACATTTAGAACCATGCCAATGCTTTACCATATTATAAAATAAAAATAAATTAAAATGAGAGAAAAAGGCAATCTCTAAAAATCAAGTGCATCCTTTCAAAAAACCAGCTCCTGGATTCATTAATTTTTTGAAGGGTTTTTTGTGTCTCTATTTCCTTCAGTTCTGCTCTGATTTTAGTTATTTCTTGCCTTCTGCTAGCTTTTGAATGTGTTTGCTCTTGCTTTTCTAGTTCTTTTAATTGTGATGTTAGGGTGTCAATTTTGGATCTTTCCTGCTTTCTCTTGTGGGCATTTAGTGCTATAAATTTCCCTCTACACACTGCTTTGAATGTGTCCCAGAGATTCTGGTATGTTGTGTCTTTGTTCTCGTTGGTTTCAAAGAACATCTTTATTTCTGCCTTCATTTCGTTATGTACCCAGTAGTCATTCAGGAGCAGGTTGTTCAGTTTCCATGTAGTTGAGCAGTTTTGAGTGAGAGTCTTAATCCTGGAGTTCTAGTTTGATTGCACTGTGGTCTGAGAGATAGTTTGTTATAATTTCTGTTCTTTTACATTTGCTGAGGAGAGCTTTACTTCCAAGTATGTGGTCAATTTTGGAATAGGTGTGGTGTGGTGCTGGAAAAAAATGTATATTCTGTTGATTTGGGGTAGAGAGTTCTGTAGATGTCTATTAGGTCCGCTTGGTGCAGAGCTGAGTTCAATTCCTGTGTATCCTTGTTGACTTTCTGTCTCGTTGATCTAATGTTGGTCTAATGTTGACAGTGGGGTGTTAAAGTCTCCCATTATTAATGTGTGGGAGTCTAAGTCTCTTTGTAGGTCGCTCAGGACTTGCTTTATGAATCTGGGTGCTCCTGTATTGGGTGCATATATATTTAGGATAGTTAGCTCTTCTTGTTGAATTGATCCCTTTACCATTATGTAATGGCCTTCTTTGTCTCTTTTGATCTTTGTTGGTTTAAAGTCTGTTTTATCAGAGACTAGGATTGCAACCCCTGCCTTTTATTGTTTTCCATTTGCTTGGTAGATCTTCCACCATCCTTTTATTTTGAGCCTATGTGTGTCTCTGCACGTGAGATGGGTTTCCTGAATACAGCACACTGATGGGTCTTGACTCTTTATCCAATTTGCCAGTCTGTGTCTTTTAATTGGAGCATTTAGTCCATTTACATTTAAAGTTAATATTGTTATGTGTGAATTTGATCCTGTCATTATGATGTTAGCTGGTTATTTTGCTCGTTAGTTGATGCAGTTTCTTCCTAGTCTCGATGGTCTTTACATTTTGGCATGATTTTGCAGCGGCTGGTACCGGTTGTTCCTTTCCATGTTTAGCACTTCCTTCAGGAGCTCTTTTAGGGCAGGCCTGGTGGTGACAGAATCTCTCAGCATTTGCTTGTCTGTGAAGGATTTTATTTCTCCTTCACTTATGAAGCTTAGTTTGGCTGGATATGAAATTCTGGATTGAAAATTCTTTTCTTTAAGATTGTTGAATATTGGCCCCCACTCTCTTCTGGCTTGTAGAGTTTCTGCTGAGAGATCAGCTGTTAGTCTGATGGGCTTCCCTTTGTGGGTAACCCGACCTTTCTCTCTGGCTGCCCTTAACATTTTTTCCTTCATTTCAACTTTGGTGAATCTGACAATTATGTGTCTTGGAGTTGCTCTTTTCGAGGAGTATCTTTGTGGCGTTCTCTGTATTTCCTGAATCTGAATGTTGGCCTGCCTTGCTAGATTGGGGAAGTTCTCCTGGATAATATCCTGCAGAGTGTTTTCCAATTTGGTTCCATTCTCCCCGTCACTTTCAGGTACACCAATCAGACGTAGACTTGGTCTTTTCACATAGTCCCATATTTCTTGGAGGCTTTGCTCGTTTCTTTTTATTCTTTTTTCTCTAAACTTCCCTTCTCGCTTCATTTCATTCATTTCATCAACAAAATTGATAAACTGCTAGCAAGACTAATAAAGAAAAAAAGAAGAATCAAATAGACGCAATAAAAAATCATAAAGGGGATATCACCACCGATCCCACAGAAATACAAACTACCATCAGAGAATACTACAAACACCTCTACGCAAATAAACTAGAAAATCTAGAACAAATGGATAAATTCCTCGACACATACACCCTCCCAAGACTAAACCAGGAAGAAGTTGAATCTCTGAATAGACCAATAACAGGATCTGAAATTGTGGCAATAATCAATAGCTTACCAACCAAAAAGAGTCCAGGACCAGATGAATTCACAGCTGAATTCTACCAGAGGTACAAGGAGGAACTGGTACCATTCCTTCTGAAACTATTCCAGTCAATAGAAAAAGAGGGAATCCTCTCTAACTCATTTTATGAGGCCAGCATCATCCTGATACCAAAGCCAGGCAGAGACACAACCAAAAAAGAGAATTTTAGACCAATATCCTTGATAAACATTGATGCAGAAATCCTCAATAAAATACTGGCAAAGCGAATCCAGCAGCACATCAAAAAGCTTATCCACCATGATCAAGTGGGCTTCATCCCTGGGATGCAAGGCTGGTTCAATATACGCAAATCAATAAATGTAATCCAGCATATAAACAGAACCAAAGACAAAAACCACATGATTATCTCAATAGATGCAGAAAAGGCCTTTGACAAAATTCAACAGCTCTTCATGCTAAAAACTCTCAGTAAATTAGGTATTGATGGGACGTATTTCAAAATAATAAGAGCTATCTATGACAAACCCACAGCTAATATCATACTGAATAGGCAAAAACTGGAAGCATTCCCTTTGAAAACTGGCACAAGTCAGGGATGCCCTCTCTCACCACTCCTATTCAACATAGTGTTGGAAGTTCTGGCCAGGGCAATTAGGCAGGAGAAGGAAATAAAGGGTATTCAATTAGGAAAAGAGGAAGTCAAATTGTCCCTGTTTGCAGATGACATGATTGTATATCTAGAAAACCCCATCGTCTCAGCCCAAAATCTCCTTAAGCTGATAAGCAACTTCAGCAAAGTCTCAGGATACAAAATCAATGTACAAAAATCACAAGCATTCTTATACACCAACAACAGACAAACAGAGAGCCAAATCATGAGTGAACTCCCATTCACAATTGCTTCAAAGAGAATAAAATACCTAGGAATCCAACTTACAAGGGAAGTGAAGGACCTCTTCAAGGAGAACTACAAACCACTGCTCAAGGAAATAAAAGAGGATACAAACAAATGGAAGAACATTCCATGCTCATGGGTAGGAAGAATCAATATCGTGAAAATGGCCATACTGCCCAAGGTAATTTACAGATTCAGTGCCATCCCCATCAAGCTACCAATGACTTTCTTCACAGAATTGGAAAAAACTACTTTAAAGTTCATATGGAACCAAAAAAGAGCCCGCATCGCCAAGTCAATCCTAAGCCAAAAGAACAAAGCTGTAGGCATCACACTACCTGACTTCAAACTATACTACAAGGCTACAGTAACCAAAACAGCATGGTACTGGTACCAAAACAGAGATATAGATCAATGGAACAGAACAGAGCCCTCAGAAATAACACCTCATATCTACAACTATCTGATCTTTGACAAACCTGAGAAAAACAAGCATTGGGGAAAGGATTCCCTATTTAATAAATGGTGCTGGGAAAACTGGCTAGCCATATGTAGAAAGCTGAAACTGGATCCCTTCCTTACACCTTATACAAAAATCAATTCAAGATGGATTAAAGACTTAAACGTTAGACCTAAAACCATAAAAACCCTAGAAGAAAACCTAGGCATTACCATTCAGGACGTAGGCATGGGCAAGGACTTCATCTCTAAAACACCAAAAGCAATGGCAACAAAAGCCAGAATTGACAAATGGGATCTAATTAAACTAAAGAGCTTCTGCACAGCAAAAGAAACTACCATCAGAGTGAACAGGCAACCTACAAAATGGGAGAAAATTTTTGCAACCTACTCATCTGACAAAGGGCTAATATCCAGAATCTACAATGAACTCAAACAAATTTACAAGGAAAAACAAACAACCCCATCAAAAAGTGGGCGAAGGACATGAACAGACACTTCTCAAAAGAAGACATTTATGCAGCCAAAAAACACATGAAAAAATGCTCACCATCCCTGGCCATCAGAGAAATGCAAATCAAAACCACAATGAGATACCATCTCACACCAGTTAGAATGGCAATCATTCAAAAGTCAGGAAACAACAGGTGCTGGAGAGGATGTGGAGAAATAGGAACGCTTTTACACTGTTGATGGGACTGTAAACTAGTTCAACCATTGTGGAAGTCAGTATGGTGATTCCTCAGGGATCTAGAACTAGAAATACCATTTGACCCAGCCATCCCATTACTGGGTATATACCCAAAGGACTATATAAATCATGCTGCTATAAAGACACATGCACACGTATGTTTATAGTGGCACTATTCACAATAGCAAAGACTTGGAACCAACCCAAATGTCCAACAATGATAGACTGGATTAAGAAAATGTGGCACATATACACCATGGAATACTATGCAGCCATAAAAAATGATGAGTTCATGTCCTTTGTAGGGACATGGATGAAATTGGAAATCATCATTCTCAGTAAACTATCGCAAGAACAAAAAACCAAACACTGCATATTCTCACTCATAGGTGGGAATTGAACAGTGAGAACTCATGTACACAGGAAGGGGAACATCACACTCTGGGGACTGTTGTGGGGTGGGGGGAGGGGGGAGGGATAGCATTGGGAGACATACCTAATGCTAGATGACGAGTTAGTGGGTGCAGCGCACCAGCATGGCACATGTATACATATGTAACTAACTTGCACATTGTGCACATGTACCCTAAAACTTAAAGTATAATGATAATAAATTTTTAAAAAAATTTAAAAAAATAAAAATAAAAATCAAGTGCATATGGAATAAGTGAATGTATATTAAGTTATATATAACTAAACGTATATTTACATTTAGTTATATATAACTAAATGTATATTAAGTTTGAGGCTGAAGCACATGATCTTTCAAATGACTTTGAAACATAGTAATTTGATTATACATTTCTAGAGGGACATATCCTCAAGGACAAAGAACTGCAAAAATATTGTAAACTGTTTTTAGTAATCGTATAACTGGTATTATTGGTATTGTTCTGGAAGCATGCATTGTTAAGTAAAACAAATGGATAATTATATTGGATTGGTGCTCTGGATTTTGGTGTGGAAAAGAGGAGATACAAAGGTAGAAACAGAGAAGTTGTTGATTAAGGATATTGGGACCATAAATTTGAGTTGGAGATGTCCGTATGAACTCATGGTATTTTTTCTTTATTGAAAATGTATTTTCTGTTTTTCTCTGCTGGAAAATCCCAGAAAGCAACCTAGGTAGCATTGAGCACTTCTAATGCCAGACTCTGTTCTGTAAATACTAATTCCCACTACAAGGAACTTAGGGTACCTTAGAAAAATGGCTTATTTCATGTTGGGGTCAAGAATGCTATAAGATGATCCTGGGACATCTTTTTATATCACAAAACAGGCTACTAGGGAGATTTTCATTTCTATCAGTGGTAGAATAGCTTTTTCTAAGCCAGTGCTCCAACTGAGAACAACTAGTAGAGAAGCTGGGAAATATTGTTTTAAAAATCTGCTTGAAGGCTTTGGAAAGTGAGCAAGGCAAAGAAAGGGACTAGAGAGACCAAAATTTTGGAGAGAAGGTAAACTCAGGGGCGAGGGCCAACTTTTGGTACAGCTTTTCCCTTGGGGGGACTGGCCGATTTGAGATGTGCGGCTAAGAGATTGAGCACAAAGTAATGGCAGAGAGACTGAGATTCTAAGCAGAGTTTTGGTGGTTATGCAGCATCGGGGGACACAGTTGGATTTCAGGGGCTGCAAAGAAAGAAGGGGCGCTGGAAAATACCTCAGGCTTTTAGTTGGGAACCCTGAAGGATGGGCTACACCCTGTGCTTAAGGGTGAACTCAAAATAGATCAGCTCTTACAAAGGCTGAAGCCCAGCTTTCACATTACCTCAATCCCTGATTGGATTAAAGAGTCTGCTCCTAGCTTTATTGTTTGCTAGAAGCAAATGTAAATCTGTGGAGGAAGACAGCATCAAGCATTGCCTCAAGTTATTATTATAATTACTATGTATAATATTTTACAACATGTAATAAATATTTACATAGTTATACAACTTAGTCTGGAATTCAATTAAAAAAAGACCTGAAAATTTAAAAATTGGCTGAAAATGAAGAGAGAAAACAGATAATTGAAACAGACTCATAGGGAGGCTTTTATTACAAATAAGATGGTATAGACTCAGTTTTCCTGCTCTTCCCTGCTAAGTACAACTCTAAATCTTGGAATTGGTACAAAAGACACCCAAAGGAGAATTCTTGAAGTTTATAAGAAGAAAGTGAACTGACTTGGGATCACAGCATTGGAAGAACAACATAGTCGTAGAGCATCTTGCATCCTCCCATCCACCTAGACCCGGTGTTTCCTGACCCTCCCACCTAGCAACAGAGTGCAGGCTAGGTAGGTTGGCTCATTCCTCCCCTGAATCAAATGGAAGTCCCCCCGAAAACATCTGCCAAGGCCGACAGCATTGACAAAGGGGATCAGTTGGGAACTCTAGCCCTAATCTTAACCCTATAAGTGGTGAGAGGAAGCACATTCCTTCCTTGCCTGTCCTGAGATGTCCCTTTTCCACTGAGGCAGGTTGGCAGAACTGGTAAGAGAGACCCAACTATAGCTAGCAGTCCAGTTTGAGAAGACTCTTCTTCCCTGTGGATGTGAGATTTTCCTCTTCAGCCCAGAGACACCAGGGTGGGCACTGCTTGCAAAAAGGACATAGCCACAGCAAATGGCCTGGTCTGAGAGATCTTTGGCCATGTGGGCCTGAGCCTTTTCTCTCCTACCCAGAGATATGGGCAGGTAGGTGGAACTGGCAAGAGCAAGTGGCCCATTACAGAAGACCTCTTTGTCTCTGTGGGTTCAAAGCTTGCCTTTTTCACTCCAGTGATACTGGGGAAGCTAGGAGTAACCTAGGACTACCACACCCTCTTCCACCAAGAGACAACTGGCAGCCTGGCTCAGGGAACTTCTTTACCCTCTCAGGCAGTGCCAGCAGAGACCAATGGGAGCTCAAAGGCACTAGATAAACAAAGCAGGCTAAATAACACTGCAAAGGCTCTGTAAATTAGTCTGCTATTGGAACGATAGCCTAGAAAAGTAGACCAAGATACTCGTGCTAAAACTAAACAGGGTGGCTAACTGTTAAAAGATTTAATAGAAGCCTATGTTAGAGACTTCTAACATAATAGACAAAATGTTCATGATATAATAGCAAATCACTTGTCATACCATCAACAAAGGAAACCACAAATTGAATCAGAAAAGACAATCAACAGTCACCAATACAAGATGAATCAGATGTTGGAATTTTCTGACAAGGATTTTAAAGCATCCATCATAAAAATGCTTCAAAATCAATTAAAATTATCCTGAAACAAAAGATATAAAAATCTCAGCAAAGAGCCATATAAAATTAATTAAAACTAAATAAATGAAATAAAAAAGCACCAAAATGGAAATTTTAGAACTGAAAAACAACAGGAAAAAAAATGCTTACTGGACCGGCTCAATAGAGTGGCAGTGACAGAATCAGTAAACTTGAGGAAGGAACTATAGAATTCACTTAATATATTGGAAGAAAGCAAACTGCAAAAAAAATGACTTGTGGGGCAATAACAAAAGACTTAATATTCACGTAATTGGATTTCCAGAGGAAGGGAGAGTAAGTAGGTCTAAAAGAGTGTTTGAAAGAAATAATAGTGGAAATCTTACCACCTTTGGCAAAAGAAACAAACCTAAGGACCCAAGAAGCTATGCGAACTTGGTACAGGATAAACCCAGTGAAACACCAAGATACATTATAATTAAACTCTTGAAACCTAAAGGCGAAGAGAAAGTCTTGAAAGCAGCCAGAGAGAAATGATGCATTACCTATAGGGAACACCAATTCAAATGGCAGTAGATTTCTCATCTGAAAACATGGAGGCCATCTGAAATGTTACATTACCTATAGGGAACACCAGTTCAAATGACAGTAGATTTTCTGTATGAAAACACGAAGAAGGACAAGACATGATATTTTTCAAGTGCGGAAATAAAAGGACTGTCAATCGTGAATTTCTGTATCTGGTGAAATTGTGCCTCAGGAACTAGAGGAAAATAGAAACATTCTCAGATAATGGATACCTAAAGAATTTGTTGCTAGCAGAACAACCCTTAAAATTGGCTAAAGGAAGTTCTTTAAGCCGAAAGGAAATGATAGTAGAAGGAATCTTGGAGCATTAGGAAGGAAGAAGGAACAATGGAAAAATAGAAATATGGGTACATAAAATAATAGACTGTCGCAGGCCGGGTGCAGTGCCAACGCCTGTAATCCCAACACTTTAGGAGGCCGAGGTGGGTGGATCACCTGAGGTCAGGAGTTCAACACCAGCCTGACCAACATGGTGAAACCTCGTCTCTACTAAAAAAAAAAAAAAAAAAAAAATTAGCTAGGTGTGGTGGCAGATGCCTGTAACCCCAGCCACTTGGGAGACTGCGGCAGGAGAATCGCTTGAAGCTGGGAGGGGGAGGTTGCAGTGAGCTGAGATTGTGCCATTGCACTCCAGCCTGGGCAATAAGAGTGAAACTCTGTCTTAAGATAATAATAATAATAATAATAATAATAATAATAATAATAATAATAATAATAGACTGCCCCTTTCCTCCCAAGTTTCATCAGTCCTATTTGATGATAGAATAAAAAATATAAAACCATCTAACACTGAAGATGATGATATTTAAATCAAGACAAAGGACTTAAATGGAAGTGAGGTTTCCACACTTTGTTCAAAGTGGTAAAATGTTGTTACTAATAAGCAGATTATTATAAGCCGTATGTTTATATTGCAGTAATTGAAGTAATCACTTAAAACTATACAAAAAGATAAACTCAAAAACAATATAAACAAATCAAGCTGGAATCCGTGATGATTAATTTTACATATCAACTTGACTGGGTTAAGGAGGACCTAGATAGCAGGTAAAGTATTCTTTCTGTGTGTATCTGTGAGGGTGTTTCCAGAAGAGGTTGGCACCTGAATCAGTGAACTGAGTAAAGATTACCCCTGCCTAATATGGGTGGCCACCATCCAATTGTTTGAGGGCGTAGATAGAACAAAAAGGCAAATCTCATTTCTCTTCTGGAGCTGTGACACCTGTCTTCTCCTCTCCTTGGAAATCGGAACTCCAGGCTCTCTGGCCCTCAGACTTCAGGACTAGCACGAGCAGTCTCCCAGGTTCTTGGACCTTTGGCCTCAGACTGAGTTACACCACCAGCTCCCTTGGTTCTCAGGCTTTGGGCTTGTCCTGCACTGTGCCATTGGCTTCCCTGGCTCTGCAGCTTGCAGATAGCCTGTCGTGGGACTTCTCAGCTCCTGTAATTGTGTGAGCCAATTTCCTTAATAAATCCTCTCCCATATACCCAATTTGTTCTGTTTTTCTGGAGAACCCTAATATAGGACTCTAAAAAATGTTCAAGTGACCTATAAGAAGGCAAGAAGAGAAGAACAAAAGACCGAGGACTTAAGCCTTAATGTATTGATAATTAACTTGAACGTAAATGGACTAAATATACCAATCAAAAGACAGAGACTGGCAGAGTGGATGAAGAAACATGACCCAACTATATATTGCTTATAGAAAAGTCACTTCAAATTGAATAATGTAGGTAGATAGAAAAGGATACTAAATTATACCATGCAAACATTGATTTAATAAAAAAGCAGAAATGGCTGTATTAATATTTGATAAATTAGACTTCAGAGCAAAGACAACTACCAGAGACAAAGAAGGGCATAATGATAAAATGCTACATTAAGCGTTGCCAGGGCACAGGGATAGGAGGTATGCTGATTGTAAAAGGGCAATATGGGGAATCCTTATAGTGTTGAAACTATTCAGTATCTTGACTGTGGAGGTAGATCCTTGAATCTATACAGGTGACAGAATTGTATAGACTTGACACACTGACACATACACATACACATACACATACACACACACACAAATGAGTGCAAGTAAAACAGTAGAAACCTGAATGCAGTTGACTTATCAATGTCAATATTCTGGTTGTGATACTGTACTGTAGTTTTTTAAAATGTTGCCATTTAGGGAAACTGGTCAAAGTGTACAAGGAATCTCTCTGTATTGCTCCTTATAACTGCATGTGAGTCTGCTATTATCTCAATTAAAATTTCAGTTATTTAAGAAACAGACTCAAGGAGACTAAGAAGACATTAAAAGTAAATGCACTGGCCTGGCATGGTGGCTCATGCTGGTAATCTCAGCACTTTGGGAGGCCGAGGCAGGTGGATCACCTGAGGTCAGGAGTTCGAGACCAGCCTGGCCAACATGGTGAAACCCTGTCTCTACTAAAAATACAAAAATTAGCTGGGCGTGGTGGCAGGTGCCTGTAATGCCAGCTAATTAGGAGGCTGAGACAGGAGAACAATTTGAACCGAGGAGGCGGAGGCTGCAGTGAGTTGAGATCATTGCCACTGCACTCCAGCCTGGGTGACCAAGTGAGACTACATCTCAAAAAAAAAAAAAAAAGTAAAAATGCACTGTGGGGTTCTGGATTGGATTTTGGAACAGACCAGAAAAGGCCATTAGTGGACACACACACACACACATACACAAGTCAGTTTTTAGAATGATCAGAAATACACTTTAAAATAAATGATTAGTATCTTTATTAGAATGATCAGAAATAGACTTTAAAATAAATGATTAGTATCTTTAAGAATTTATATAACAAGATCAATAATTTCAGTAGAGAAATAGAAAGTATAAAAAGAAGCATTGGAAACTAGAAATACAATAATTGATTTTGAAGAGCCTTAGAAGAGAATTAGTTAACTATAAGATATGTTGGGAAAAAATACCTGTATAGAAGCACAGAGACAAAGGAATGAAAAATACTAGGTTGGTGCAAAAGTAAATGCGGTTTTTGCCGGGAGGTTTTGTTTTTTTTTTTTTAATGGCAAAAACCACAATTACTTTTGCACCAACCTAATATTTAATAATTGGAGTTAAAGGCCGGGCACATTGGCTCATGCCTGTAATCCCAGCATTTTGGGAGGCCGAGGTGGGTGGATCATGAGGTCAGGAGTTCAAGATCAGCCTGGCCAAGATAGTGAAACCCTGTCTCTACTAAAAAATACAAAAAAAATTTAGCCGGGCATGGTGGTGGGTGCCTGTAATCCCAGCTACTTGGGAGGCTGAGGCAGAGAATTGTTTAAACCCGGGAGGCGGAGGATGCGGTGAACCGAGATCGCGCCACTGCACTCCAGCCTGCGACAGAGCGAAACTCCGTCTCAAAAAAAAAAAAAAAATTGGAGTCAAAAAATGGCAAAAACTGCAATTACTTTTGCACATACCGAAAAGAGTTTGAATGATGTGGGACACAGTTGTAATTAGAACTCCAAAAGGAGAAAAAAAGAGTGGAGCAGAAGCAATACTTAATGAGATAATGTCCTAGAATGTTCACAAAGTGATAAGATGCTTAAAGCTGCCAATTCAGGAAATGCAACAAACACCAAACAGGATGAGGAAGGAAAAGCATACTCAGCATTTTTGCTAACAACCAAAGACAAAGTTAAAAATATTTTTTTTTTTTTTTTTTTTTTTGAGACAGAGTCTTGCTCTGTTGCCAGGCTGGATCTCGGCTCACTGCAACCTCCACCTCCCAGGTTCAAGCAATTCTCCTGCCTCAGCTTCCTGAATAGCTGGGACTACAGGCGCGCCACCACGCTCAGCTAATTTTTGTATTTTTAGTGAAATACGAAAATTAGTTTTAGCGAAACGGGGTTTCACCATGTTGGCCAGGATGGTCTCGATCTCTTGACCTCGTGATCCACCCGTCTCGGCCTCCCAAAGTGCTAGGATTACAGACATGAGCCACCGCGCCTGGTGAAAGTTAAAAATCTTAAAGCAACCAGTGGATTGAGACACATTATCTTTACACAAGCAAGAAAAAGGCTGGGCGTGATGGCTCATACCTGTAATCCCAGTACTTTGGGAGGCTGAGGCGGGATGATTCCTTGAGCCCAGGAGTTTTGAGACCAGCCTGGTAACATAGTGAGACCTTGTCTCAGTTTTAAAAATTTATTTTCTTATTAAAAAAAAAAAAGCAAGGACAAGACTGAAAACTACCTTCTTATTATAAACAATGGAAACCCAAACAATGGAATGACAGTTTTAAAGTGCAGAAAAGAAAATAAATGCCAGCATAGAATTGTATACCAAGAGTTGACAAACTTTCTTTTTAAAGGGCCAGGTAGTATATATCTTAGACTCCTGGGCCATGTAAGATCTCTGCCACAGCTATTCTGCATTGTTGCATGAAAGCAGTCATAAACAATCATAAGCGAATGGGCATGGCTGTGTTCCAATAAAACCTTACTTACAGAAACAGGCTACTAGTCCACGGGCTGTAGTTCCCTACCCTTCTATATCCAGTAGAAAATATACTTCAAAAATGAAGAACTAAAGATATTTTCAGATGAACAAATACAGAGGGGATTAATCACCGGCAGCCTTACAGTAAAGGGAGTTCCGTAAGCAGAGGAGAATGACTGCAGAAGGAAATACAGAGATTCTAAGAGGAATGAGGAGCAGTGGAAAGAATAAAGTGTGGGTAAACTTAACTGAATGTTAATTGTATGCAATAATAATGTCCTCTGGGATTTAGAATATAGAATTGAAATATACACCAACAAAGCACAAGCAGCTGGTATAGGTGGATGGAAGAAGTGAAGCTTAAGGTCCTTGAATTGCCCAGGAAATGGTATAAGTACTAATTTATATTAGGCCTTGATAAATCAGGGATGCAAGTTATAATTTCTAGGGTAATCACTAATAGTAGTAAAAGTAAAGGTAATAGCAAAATAAAAGTAAATAGTAAAAGGATGCATAACATAATAGTTTATAAAGAAAAAAATGGAATAATAAGAATATTTAATCCAAAAAAAGGTAAAACAAGATAGGAAAAGGAACATAGAGTAAGTAGGCAGATAGAAAACAAATAGCGAGACAGTAGATTTAATGCCAGTTATGTCAGCACTGGAATGAAAACTGACTCAAGATACCAGTTCAATGACAGATTTGTCTAAGTGGGTTTAGGAAAACCAATGAACTATGATACAAAACTGTACTTAACTGTAATGAGTCAAATATTGAAAGCAAAAGGATAGAGAAAAAGGTATATCACACTCTTAACCCACAGACAGCTGGTTTATGTCTATATCTGACAAAATAGACTTAAGAAGGATTGCTAGAGGCAAAATAGTAACGTTTCATAATGATGAAAGCACAGTCTACCAGAAAAAATGATTCTAAATGTGTGTGTACCTAATAATGTAACCTTATGTTATATAAAGTGAAAGATGTCAGAGGTACATGTTAACAATTTTTTTTTTTTTTTTGGAGACAGGAGTCTTGCTCTGTCGCCCAGGCTGGAGTGCAGTGGTGTGATCTCGGCTCACTGCAACCTCCAGCCCCTAGGTTCAAGTGATTCGTCTGCCTCAGCCTCAGCCTCCCGAGTAGCTGGGACCACAGGTGTGCACCACCATGCCCGGCTAATTTTTGTATTTTTAGTAGAGGTGGGGTTTTGCCACGTTGGCCAGGCTGGTCTTGACCTCCTGACCTCAAGCTATCCACCTGCCTTGGCCTCCCAAAGTGCTGAGATTACAGGTGTGAGCCACCACGCCCAGCCACAAATTTTTTATTTGTAAATAATTTTAAGCTCACAGAAAAGTGCAAGAATAAAAACAGTGCAAAGCACAACTTTGTATTCTACCCAAATTCATTGTTAACATCTCACTACATTTGCTTTATCATTCCTCACCCCTCCCTCCACATAAGCACACATACACAGATATGTGTGTGTATACATAATTTTTCCCTCTGAACCTTTCAAGGGTAAACTATATATATCGTGGCTCTTGACCCAAAATACTTTAGTATGTATTTTCTGAGAATAGTGATAGTCTTAAGAGTCTTAAGGTACAGTTTTTACCTTCAATATATTTGACATTGTACAATGCTTTAATCTACTGTTTGTGTTTCATTCTGTCAGTTGACCTGCAATGTCCTTTGTGTAATTTTCAACGTGCAGTACAGGATCCAGTCTAGGGTTAGGTATTGCATTTGATTGCCACACTTTAATCTAGAACAGAGGTCAACAAACATTTTCTTTACAGGGCCTGATAGTAAATATTGTTGGCTTTGTCTGTGTCATAGATCTCTGTCACATCTAATCACCTCTGCTGTTGTAGAGAGAAGCAGCCATTGACTATAAGTATGTGAAAGGATACAGCTGTGTTTCAGGAAAACTTTATCTGTATAAGCAGACAGCAGGCCTGATTTGGCCTGGCAGCTGTAGTTTGCCGGTCCCTGATTTAGAATATTTGTACTGCCTTTCTTTTTCTTTATTTTTTGTTTTTTAATGATATTGACATTCTTTGATTAATACATTCCCCCTCTTTTAATCCAGTTCCTTATTTTGCGTTTGTTTTGTTTTCCCATCATTAGATTCAAGTTACGAATCCTTGACCAAAATACTGCATAGGTGAAGGGGTGTTCTTCTTAGATCTGGAGGCATACGTTGCCCATCTGTCTGATTTTTTTAATGTTGATTTTATTCTCCTGTTTGAGGTGCTGTCTTATTTTTCCACTATATAATTACTATTTTTTTCCTATTTGCAATCAATAAGCAGTCTGTGGGGAGATGCTTTAAGACCATGCACATATGCTGCTGCTCATCAGAATTTCCTTCTACTTTTTAGCATCCACTGCTAATGGGAAAAGTAATTTTAATACTCTCTCAGTAGTTCGTAGAACAAAAAGATTTGAAAACACTTGGCCTAATTGACATATACAGAACATTGCACTATATAGTTTCTGTATACTTCTAAATATTCATGAATCAAAGAAGAAATCACCTTGGAAATTTGAAAATGTTTTGAGTGGAATGGCGATGAAAGTATTATCTGTCAAACCTTTGAGATACAGCTAATGGCATTCTGAGAATTAAAATTGTAGCTTTAAATGCATACATTAAAAAAGAAAGGTGAATATCTAAGTTTTCAACTCCAAGTAGAAAAAGCACTGTACAATATGTTCCTAAAGGGAAGAAAACAATAAAGATAAATTAGTTGAATATAAAACAGGTACAGAAGCGAGGATTAACAAAGACAAACATTAGAAAAGACTAATAAAACTGATCAACTGCTGGAGAGATTGATAAAGGCAAAAAGAAAACAAATGACTGGTATCAGTAATAGGAAAGGGGAGATCACGGTAGATCTTAACAGACACTGACAAAATCAGGAGGATTTTTTTTAGTAGGTTTTTTTTTTAATATAAGCTACATTTTCAGTTTGTTTTGTTGTATAATTTTTAAACTATATGGCACAACACAGTAAATACTCATAGGAGGTCGAGAAACTATACAAGAAACAATTGGAATAAATCTGGTAGATTGTTTCTATTTAGACATTAACTCTGTTTATCATTTGAGGAATTCTCCATAGTTGTACCAGAGGTGATTGATTATTAAATCTATTAATTAGATACAAAATACTAATATGTTCTGTTCAAAAGAAGTCAGCAAGGCGTAGTTATCACACAGATCAACAACGAAGAAAGACATGTTTTAGGACATTTGAAAAAATCACACGTAGCTTATTTTCTTGACAATCTTAATCATGACAAAACCTGGGTTTCACTGACTAGATATGAAATGTGTGGGGCATTTGTTTACTACATGTTTAAGCATGGTTAGAACTACAATCTGAAAAATGTTTTAATTGTACAGCCTTATAATTATTTCAATCTAAATATCAGAGGAGTTAATAACATCAATTAATTTCAAAATTATGCTTCTGTTTTTGTGAGGCCAAGTATAAACTGTTTTTGGCAAAAAGAAAAGCTAGTTTTACCTGACTTTTTTTTTTTTTGGAAGGCCTGCACTGGGTTATGTGTTCTTTTTTCTTTTATATATATATATATATATATATTTTTTTTTTTTATTATACTTTAAGTTCTAGGGTACATGTGCACAACATGCAGGTTTGTTACATACGTATACATGTGCCATGTTGGTGTGCTGCACCCATTAACTTGTCATTTAACATTAGGTATATCTCCTAATGCTATCCCTCCCCCCTCCCCCCACGCCACAACAGGCCCCAGGGTGTGATGTTCCCCTTCCTGTGTCCAGGTGTTCTCATTGTTCAATTCCCACCTATGAGTGAGAACATGCTGTGTTTGGTTTTTTGTCCTTGCGATAGTTTGCTGAGAATGATGGTTTCCAGCTTCATCCATGTCCCTACAAAGGACATGAACTCATCATTTTTTATGGCTGCATAGTATTCCACAGTGTATATGTGCCACATTTTCTTAATCCAGTCTATCATTGTTGGACATTTGGGTTGGTTCCAAGTCTTTGCTATTGTGAGTAGTGCCTCAATAAACATACGTGTGCATGTGTCTTTGTAGCAGCATGATTTATATTCCTTTGGGTATATACCCAGTAATGGGATGGCTGGGTCAAATGGTATTTCTAGTTCTAGATCCCTGAGGAATCGCCACACTGACTTCCACAATGGTTGAGCTAGTTTACAGTCCCACCAACAGTATAAAAGTGTTCCTATTTCTCCACATCCTCTCCAGCACCCGTTGTTTCCTGACTTTTTAATGATCGCCATTCTAACTGGTGTGAGATGATATCTCATGGTGGTTTTGATTTGCATTTCTCTGATGGCCAGTGATGATGAGCATTTTTTCACGTGTCTGTTGGCTGCATAAATGTCTTCTTTTGAGAAGTGTCTGTTCATATCCTTTGCCCACTTTTTGATGGGGTTGTTTGTTTTTTTCTTGTAAATTTGTTTGAGTTCTTTGTAGATTCTGGATATTAGCCCTTTGTCAGATGAGTAGGTTGCAAAAATTTTCTCCCATTCTGTAGGTTTCCTGTTCACTCTGATGGTAGTTTCTTTTGCTGTGCAGAAGCTCTTTAGTTTAATTAGATCCCATTTGTCAATTTTAGCTTTTGTTACCATTGCTTTCGGTGTTTTAGTCATGAAGTCCTTGCCCATGCCTGTGTCCTGAATGGTATTGCCTAGGTTCTCTTCTAGGGTTTTTATGGTTTTAGGTCTAACATTTAAGTCTTTAATCCATCTTGAATTAATTTTTGTATAAAGTGTAAGGAAGGGATCCAGTTTCAGCTTTCTACATATGGCTAGCCAGTTTTCCCAGCACCATTTGTTAAATAGGAAATCCTTTCCCCATTTCTTGTTTTTGTCAGGTTTGTCAAAGATCAGATAGTTGTAGATGTGTGGTATTATTTCTGAAGGCTCTGTTCTGTTCCGTTGGTCTAAATCTCTGTTTTGGTACCAGTACCATGCTGTTTTGGTTACTGTAGCCTTGTAGTATAGTCTGAAGTCAGGTAGTGTGATGCCTCCAGCTTTGTTCTTTTGGCTTAGGATTGACTTGGCGATGTGGGCTCTTTTTTGGTTCCATATGAACTTTAAAGTAGTTTTTTCCAATTCTGTGAAGAAAGTCATTGGCAGCTTGATGGGGATGGTATTGAATCTATAAATTACCTTTTTCACCATATTGATTCTTCTATCCATGAGCATGGAATGTTCTTCCATTTGTTTGTGCCCTCTTTTATTTCGTTGAGCAGTGGTTTGTAGTTCTCCTTGAAGAGGTCCTTCACGTCCCTTGTAAGTTGGATTCCTAGGTATTTTATTCTCTTTGAAGCAATTGTGAATGGGAGTTCACTCATGATTTGGCTCTCTGTTTGTCTGTTATTGGTGTATAAGAATGCTTGTGATTTTTGCACATTGATTTTGTATCCTGAGAGTTTGCTGAAGTTGCTTATCAGCTTAAGGAGATTTTGGGCTGAGACGATGGGGTTTTCTAGATATACAATCATGTCATCTGACAAGCCCCAGTGAGATGAACCTGGTACCTCAGTTGGAAATGCAGAAATCACCCATCTTCTGTGTCGCTCATGCTGGGAGCTGTAGACTGGAGCTGTTCCTATTCAGCCATCTTGGAACCACCCTCAGGAGGATATTATTAATGACTATTCCAATACATTGAAAATTTTAGATGACATGGCAAATTTCTAGAAAAACCAACTTATAAAAAGAAAACTCCATGTCCAGAAAGCTTCACCAGTCAATTCTTCCCAACTATTATAGGTATTTCACCAATGTTACAGACTCTTCCAGAGCATAGGAAAATAGGTGAAATTCTATTCTTGTTTTCATACAGCCAGCATCATTTTGTTATAAAAACCTGAAAGAAAAGGAAAACAGCAAGTCAGTCTGTCTTATGAACATAGATGGAAAAAATGTAAACAGAATATTTGCAGACTGTGTTTAGTGAAATACTGAGATAATCATGACCAAGTGGGTTTATTTGAGAAATTTAAGGTTGATTTAATATTTGAAAATCAGTATCATTCGCAACATTTACAGTATAAATGATTATTTTAGTAGATAGATAATTTTAAAAAATAGAATTCAATACGTTAATGATAAAAACCTTTAACAAACTAGGAATGGAAAATACTTCCTTGGCTGGGTGAGGTGACTCATGCCTGTAATCCTAACACTTTGGGAGGCTGAGGTGGGAAGATTGCTTGAGGCCAGGAGTTTGAGACCACCGTGGGCAACATAGTGAGACTGTCTCTACAAAAATGACAAAATTATCCAGGCATGGTGGTGTGTGCCTCTAGTCCCAGCTGTTGGGGAGGCTGAAGTGGGAGGATCGCTTGAGCCCGGTTGGTTGAGGCCGCAGTGAGCCATGATCCCACCACTGCATTCCAGCCTTGGTGACAAAGCAAGACACTGTCTCAAAAAAATAAAAGAAAAAAAGATACTTCCTTAATATATTAGGAGCTTGTACAAAGAATTTAGGATAACTATCACACTGTGTGGGGAAATACTGAAAGCTTTTCCCTGAGATTGGGAATAAGACAGGATACTTCCATCACAAGTTCTTTTCATTTTCAGTATTGTAATGAACGTCTAAAACAGCTGCAGTAAGGCAAGAAAAGTAATAAAGTGATAAATGTTAGAAAGGAAAAATAGAATTTTTTAAACAGATGTTATGCTTGCATTATTCCTAGTTTTTACTTGGAATAATCAGGAGAATGGTGTTACCATTCTAGAGATGAAAATTTGGTGGTTAAAAATGTATATAGGTGGTATGTAAAGCTTTGAGACAGTGTGAGATCACCTACCTAGTGAATTAGGCAGAGAAACAGGCTTTAGGTAGAGAAGCGAGGCTACTTTTTAGAGATTGGGAAGGCAGGTAGATTTACTAAAGTGAACTGAGAAGAAGCTGCCAGGGAATCCAGAGTGGAGGGTTTTGGGGACCAAGTGAAAAGGGTTTTAAGAAGAGAGTTACTAGCTTTTTGAATGCTGTGAGATTTACCTTATGTACCTTAATAAAGGGATTTCAGAGGAGGGTAAGGGTTAAAGTCCAGTTGGAGTTGGTTAAGAAATTTGGTGAGAGCATTGAGTCAAAGTAGACAACTTTCAACAAGATTTTTTATATAAAAGTGAGAAGAGAAGTAGACAGTAGCCTGAAGAATATGAGCAGAAGGGGGTTTGTTTTTTTAGAAGAGAATGCAACAGCTCTTCTGTAAGCTGATCCAGCAGAAGGTAAAAGTATTGGGTGAAAGTTAGAATTAGGTTTGGTCTGGTGATGCCCTTGATTGGGTGGAGTTTGAGAATTCTGGACCCAGGTAGACGATGCAACTCTGAATGGGCTTAAACCATTTATCCTTTGTAACTAGAGGAGAGGCATAGTACGTGCATTTAGTCATGGGAAAAAAATATATAGTTCTCTCCTCATTAGTTATTCTTTCTACAACTATTCACTGAGTGCCATTAGAATGCCAGGCATACTTTTAGGCACTGGAAATAGTCAACAGAACAGGCAAAAATCCATGCTGTTGTGAAGTTTACATTGCACTGGAAGAAAGTAGATATGAAACAAGTAAGATATCAGCTAATTATCAGCTAAAATTGAAGAGAGGGAAGAAGGTTTAGCAAATTGAGAGAAAATAAGGTGTAAAAAGTGAATTGACCAGGGAAATGAATTATTGATTGACCCACAGTGCGGAGAGTCTGTATGAGATGTGTGTTTATAAGTGTGAAAAGAGACCAAATAGCATAATATTTTGTCTCTAGCCTTATCTAGCTGCTTGTTGGTATATAAGAGTAAGCAGAGAGTTGGGCTTCTCCAGGTTTAGAGTTGCCATACGTATAACTGCAGCTTACCAAGGTGCCATTGAGTGTAAAATGCACTCTTATTTTGTGAACTGAGAAAAAACACTGTCATTTAAACTGTGGCATGCCATAGATTTTATAATATATCCTGATTTCTGAGCTATTAGTTTTAAAATTGTTCATTTTAGAATTAGTAAAATAAGTAGTTGGGATACTTTTGATTGGAAACAACAGAAAACCCAAACTCAGATGCACTTTAATAATAAGGAGGAGCCAAGGGGGATATGAAGAAAATGGCAGCCTGAATGAGGCCTGCTTCCTTGACTCCCTCAGCTACCTACTAGCTCTCTGGTTCTCTTGAGCCAGCCTGCTGCGGGGCCCTACAGAAAACTGTAGGATCTGGTTTTCTGTTCTTGTGTTAGTTTGCTGAGAATGATGGTTTCCAGCTTCACCCATGTCCCTGCAAAGGACATGAACTCATCCTTTTTTATGGCTGTGTAGCATTCCATGGTGTATATGTGCCACATTTTCTTTATCCAGTCTATCATTGATGGGCATTTGGGTTGGTTCCAAGTCTTTGCTATTGTGAACAGTGCCATAATAAACATACATGTGCATGTGCCTTTACAGTAGAATGAATTATAATCCTTTGGGTATATACCCAGTAATGGGATTGTTGGGTCAAATGGTATTTCTGGTTCTAGATCTTTGAGGAATCGCCACACTGTCTTCCACAACGGTTGAACTAATTTACACTCCCAACAGTGTAAAAGCGTTCCTATTTCTCCATGTCCTCCCCAGCATCTGTTGTTTCCTGTAATCTGTCTACCTTTTAAGTTTAAATTCCCCATGAAAAAAGAGTTTTAAAAGTTATGCCATAGAAAAAGATTAATAGCACGAGAAAAGGCTAATTATTAGGTTTAAAAAATAGGTTACATATAATATGTACAATATTATCTCCACTTTAAAAAAAATCTATTTATCCATGCATAGGAAAAAACTACTAAGCCATACACCAAAGTGCATATGTGGTTATCATTAGGAATCATAAGTTTAAATAATTTGAGAATTCTTTTTACTTTTTCTCCATTTTCCAAATTTTCTGCACTGACCATGCAGAAACCATTGCAATGACCATTGCTTTTACAATGAGAACCAGAAAAGCCTTTTAAAAATTAAACAAAATTTTTGGGAGGCCAAGGAGGGTGGATCACCTGAGGTCACAAGTTCGAGACCAGCCTGGCCAACATGGTGAAACCCCGTCTCTACTATAAGTATAAAAATTAGCCAGGTGTAGTGGTGGGCACCTGTAATCCCAGCTACTTGGGAGGCTGAGGCAAGAGAATTGCTTGAACCCAGGAGACGGAGGTTGCAGTCAGCCAACACGGTGCCACTGCACTCCAGCCTGGGTGATGAAGTGAGACTCCGTCTCAAACATAAAAAAAAAAATTAAACAAATTTTTAACAACTCAGCAGGCTTAGTCTGCTTTCTTTCACAGTCTGCATTTTTTGGGCCCTGGAGCCCCAGGAGTCTTCGTAGCTTCCCACTCAGGTTAAGATACAGCACATATTTCCAGCTTCTACAGGTGGCCTCTTTGCACATAGAATCGTGACCTTTATTTTCAACATCTGAAGCATTGCTACTTATCTATATTGATTAACTTAGCTGAGTTCTCCTCTACCATCTAATTAGATTTGGTTTCTTCACAGTGGAGCACAGGCTATCTTCAGTGTGTTCTGTACATACAAGCAACTTTATAACCATCTTTGTATCCATACTTTGTTAGACTGGTTTTTGTGTTGTGGGAATGACTGATTCACTAAGATGTCCAGGATGTTGGCAATCCAGTTGAGGGACGTGGTATAACGGGACCCAGCACTGCATTCGAATTTCATCCTTGGACAAGACAAGTAACTTCTCTGACCCCAAATTTCTACCGGTTGCTCCCCTGCCTGCAGGCTCCGTGCTTGGTATCTCAGAAAACCTTCCCGAGGAAAAAGCCCATAAGGGACAAGTCCCGGCCCAACTTAAAATCACATTATGCTATGTGAAAAAAGCCAAACACGAAAAGACACATGGTTGTATGATTCCATTTATATAAAATGTCTGGAATAAGCAAATCCATAGAGATAGAAGGTAGACTAATGCTTGCTGGCAGGGAGTGACTGCTAACGTCCCAAATTAGATAGTGCAGATGTTTGTTCAACTCTGTGAAACATACTAAAAGTCACTTGTACACTTCAAAAGAGTAAGTCTTACGGAATGTGAATTAAAGCTCAATAAAACTCTTATTAAAAAGTAGATAAAAGGGTTAATAATCTCTCTACTGAACAATTATCCCCCATAATGAATCCTGTTTCATCTGTACTCCTACCCACCTTCTCCCCCATATTATTTTAAAGCAGCATATTATTTCATTTATAAATATTTCAGTAGTTTGGGTACTTAAAAAATACATAACCACAATAGTATTATCATGCCTAAAAAATTTAACATGTAATAAAATATTCAGTCAGTGCTCAACTTTCTAATCATGTTTTTAGACTGCTTAGCATTTTGTTGTGGAGATGGATCATAATATATTTAACCAGTTCCTGTTGATGAAGCTTGAGGTTATTTCTAACTTTCCAACTGATAAATAGTGCTTCAATAAACATCCTTATATATAAAAAAAAAAAAAAGAAAGAAAACTGTAGGATCTGGTTCTGTAGTGATCCTTCCAAGCAGAGAGAACTGGTGTATAGCTGGCCATTGTAGCAAGAGGCAAGGACCATGAAGCTGCAGATCCTGGAAGATGGGACATAGCACCCATTTATGTAGTGTGTATGTAGGCCTTCTTGATCTCTACAAGGCCAGTGTATTGCTGAATGGTTGGGCAGAGTCTTAACCTGTGCTTGAGGCTGAAGCAGTACTGGGAGATCTGAGAACGGAGAAGATTCCTATAGGTTAACACACAGTGTACTCAGAGCCTGTCTGCTTGAATACATCCATGTGAGACTGGCTTTCCAAATTTTAAATTAAAAATCTAGAACATTTAAAGAGAGTTAAATGTACTTTTTCAAACAAATAACTTTCTGGAGCTGAAATCTATGATTTCCTCATTAAACAATTCAGTACATGAATTAAAAGAGGGGCAGTGCAAGAAATTTTTGGAGAGCAAATGTATAAAGATAGAAATCATGAAAGCAAAGAAACTTGGAGGAGAAATTTGAGATGTCCAAAATTTGAATAATATGACTTCCAGAAGGAGAGAAAGAAACAGATGGAAGAAAAGACTACGTATTGTGTACAGTGTACACTGCTTGAATGATGATGGGTGCACTAAAATCTCAGAGGTCACCGCTAAAGAACCCATCTGTGTAACCAGAAACTATCTGTATCTCCACAACTATTGAAATGAAAAGAAAAGAAAAGAAAAAGGAAACGGATGGATGTGGCAGTAAGCCACAGGAGAAAAAAAGACAGGTATCACATTTCAAATTTGAACACTGTAGCTAAAAAGCAGTGGATTAGCATCTAGAGCTACTGAGAGAAAAATGACTGCAATCCAAGAATACCATATCCAGCCAAGGTATTTATCTGTACAGGTAAAAGAAAGATGTTTAAGGATCTATATAAATTCAGAGTATACCACTCAAGTATCCTATTTGAGGCAAATAAATGAAGCAGAACAGAGACTATAAAATTGAAGAAGAGAGTGAAGAGCGGTGAACAGTGAACTTGTTTTTATGTTTAAAATTATATCGTAATGGATGAGGTTGGGCTGGGAATATATAAGTGCTACATTAGACCTCTTTAATAGAATGGACATAAGGAAAAGTTTTGAATGAGTATTGAGCTGTCTCTGCAAAATATAGGAATTAGGATGCTCTGCAGAAAAAAATGTGCCAAAGGTGTCATAGAGTAGAGAGGGAAGGGAAAGGAAGAAAGGGTAGATGTATCTTAGGAGTCTCATTTTTGGGGTTGGGAATAGGAAAGGAGTGGGTAAGTGTGGAGTATTTTTGTAGGGGAAATGTTTGACATCTTGTTTATAAATTATAGTAAAGACATATGCTTTCAACAGTGAAAGGCAGGAAAGGGAAGATAACCATTGATAAGATGGAAAAGTTCAGTAGTATTTCCAGGTAAAGGGGGAAATGAAATGAATGACAACTTTTTTCTTTTTTTCTTTTTGAGACAGAATCTTGCTCTGTCACCCAGGCTGGAGTGCAGTGGTGGGATCTTGGCTCAGTGTTACCTCCGCCTCCTGGGTTCAAATGATTCTTGTGCCTCAGACTCAAGAGTACTTGGGATTATAGGAGTGTGCCACCATGCCCAGATAATTTTTTGGTAGTTTTAGTAGAGATGGAGTTTCGCCATTTTGGCCAGGCTGGTCTCGAACTCCTGGCCTCAAGTGATCTGCCTGCCTCAGCCTCCCAAAGTGCTGCGATTACAGGCATGAGCCAGCGTACCTGGCCTGCACGCCAACTTTATCACACTAGTAAAATAAGGAAAAAGAAAAGAGAGCAATGTAAATAAGCAACAAACAAAATATAGATGGAAAGAACAAAATTAATATTTAGGTCATCTACTAAATGTGAATAAATTATGTAGTCTCATGAAAAGAAAACTGGAGTGGCTATATTAAGATCGAAGTCGACTTCATGTGAATTAACACAGGAACAGAAAATGAAACACCGCATGTTCTTGTAAGTGGGAGCTAAACAATGAATACATGTGGACACAAAGATGGGAACAATAGACAGGGGGTACTACTTGAGAGGGGAGGTTGGGAGGCGGGGTTGGGTTGAAAAACTACCTATTAGGTACTATGCGTACACACAGGTCAAAGGAGAAATAAGGGAAATCAGAAAAAAACATTTTGGAATGAATGAAGGTGTATGCAAAGTATTAGGTACTTTGCATACAAAGGATTCTTTGTACATCAAACCTCGGCAACACGCAATTTACGCATGCAACAAACCTGCACACATACCCCTGAATCTAAAATAAAAGTCAAGAGAAAAAAAAAACCCAAAAACAAAGTAGATTTCACACAAACAAGGAATATTAACAGAGATAGAAATATTTCATAAAGACAAACATGTAAATTCTTCAAGAAGACAGAACAGTCCTGCATTTGTAGGTGTTTAGCAACAGAGTTCTAAAATACATGAAGTACAAATGGTCAGAACTAAAATGGGAAATGTGCAAATCCACAATTATAGTTGCAGATTTCAACATTTGCCTTTCAATATCAATAAAACAAGTATACAGAAAAATAAGAAGGTTATAGAAGACTTGAATAACACTGTCAATTAACTTGACATAATTGGTACTTAGAGAACATGATACATATCAACTGCAGATTACACATTGAAGTGCCCTTGGAACATTCAGTAAAATAGACTATATGCTGGATAATAGAACAAGTCTCAATACATTTAAAAGATTTGAAACCATATGTCATGTGTTCTGTTTTGAAGACAGGGTCTCGCTTGCTCTGTCACCCAGGCTGAAGTGTTGGGATTGTAGCTCACTGCAGCCTCTATCTCTGGGCTCAAATGATTCTCTCACCTCAGCCTCCTGAGTAGCTGGGACTACAGGTACACTCTACCACATTCAGCTAATTTTTTTTTTTTTTAATTTTTAGTAGAGATGAGGTCTCACTATGTTGCCTAGGCTGGTCTTAAATTCCTGGCCTCAAGTGATTCATCCACTTTGGCCTCCCAAAATGCTAGGGTTATAGACGTGAGCCAGAGTTTCTGTGGAATTGCAATAGAAATCATTAACAAAAAGATAACTAGAAAAATTCCCCCAAACATTTGGAAATTAAGCAACATCTAAATTACACATAGGTCAAAGGAGAAATAAGGGAAATTAGAAAAACATTTTGGAATGAATGAAAGTGTAAACACAGTCTGTTACATTTGTGGAATGCAGCTAAAGCAGTATATAGAGAGGAATTTGTACCTGCAAAAGTTTTTATTAGAAAAGAGAAAAGATGTAAATGTTCTAAATTTCCATAGCCAGACTACCTCTCTAGATTCCTTCTCTCTGGGCAGGGCATCTCTGAAAGAAAGGCAGCATCCCCAGTCAGGGGCTTATAGATAAAACTCCCATCTTCCTGGGACAGAGCACCTGGGGGAATGGGCATCTGTGGGCACAGCTTCAGCTGACTTAAACATTCCTGCCTGCCGGCTCTGAAGAGAGCAGCAGATCTCCCAGCACACCACTCGAGCTCTGCTAAGGGACAGACTGCCTCCTCAAGTGGGTCCCTGACCCCCGTGCCTCCTGACTAGGAGACACCTCCCATCAGGGGTCGACAGACAGCTCATACAGGAGAGCTCCAGCTGACATCTGGTGGATACCCCTCTGGGATGAAGCTTCCAGAGGAAGGAACAGGTGGTAATCTTTGCTGATCTGCAGCCTCCAGTGGTGATACCCAGGCAAATAGGGTCTGGAGTGGACCTCCAGCAAACTCCAGCAGACCTGCAGCAGAGGGGCCTGTTAGAACAAAAACTAACAAACAGAAAGGAATAGGATCACCATCAACAAAAAGGACGTCCATACAGAAACCCCATCCAAAGGTCACCAACATCAAAGACCAAAGGTAGATAAATCCACGAAGATAAAGAAAAACCAGCGCAAAAAGGCTGAAAATTCCAAAAACAAGAACGCCTCTTCTTCTCCAGAGGATCACAACTCCTCGCCAGCAAGGGAACAAAACTGGATGGAGAATGAGTTTGATGAATTAACAGAAGTAGGCTTCAGAAGGTGGGTAATAACAAACTCCTCCAAGCTAAAGAAGCATGTTCTAACCCAATGCAAGGAAGCTAAGAACCTTGAAAAAAGGTTAGGGCAATTGCTAACTAGAATAACCAGTTTAGAGAAGAATGTGAAAGAGCTGATGGAGCTGAAAAACAAAGCACAAGAACTTTGTGAAGCATACACAAGTATCAATAGCCAAATCGATCAAGCAGAAGAAAGCATATCAGAGATTGAAGATCAACTTAATGAAATAAAGCATGAAGACAAGATTAGAGAAAAAAGAATGAAAAAGGAACAAACAAAGCCTCCAAGAAATATGGGACTATGTGAAAAGACCAAACCTGCGTTTGATTGGTGTACCTGAAAGTGATGGGGAGAATGGAACCAAGTTGGAAAACACTCTTCAGGATATTTTCCAGGAGAACTTCCCCAACCTAGCAAGACAGGCCAACATTCAAATTCAGGAAATACAGAGAACACCACAAAGATACTCCTTGAGAAGAGCAACCCCAAGACATATAATCGTCAGATTCACCAAGGTTGAAATGAAGGAAAAAGTGTTAAGGGCAGCCAGAGAGAAAGACTGAGTTACCCTCAAAGGGTAGCCTATCAGACTAACAGCAGATCTCTCAGCAGAAACCCTACAAGCCAGAAGAGAGTGGGGGCCAATATTCAACATTCTTAAAGAAAAGAATTTTCAACCCAGAATTTCATATCCAGCCAAACTAAGCTTCATAAGTGAAGGAGAAATAAAATTATTTACAGACAAGCAATTGCTGAGATATTTTGTCATCACCAGGCCTGCCTTACAAGAGCTCCTGAAGGAAGCTCTAAATATGGAAAGGAAAACCAGTACCAGCCACTGTAAAAACATACCAAATTGTAAAGACCATTGACACTATGAAGAAACTGCATCAACTAATGGGCAAAATAACCAGCTAGCATCATAATGACAAGATCAGATTCACACATAACAATATTAGCCTTAAGTGTAAATGCCCCAATTAAAAGACACAGACTGACAAATTGGATAAAGAGTCAAGACCCATCGGTGTGCTGTATTTAGGAGACCCAACTCATGTGCAAAGACACACATAGGCTCAAAACAAAGGGATGGAGGAGTATTTACCAAGCAAATGGAAGCCAAAAAAAAAAAAAAAGCAGGGGTTGCAATCCTAGTATCTGATAAAACAGACTTCAAACCAACAAAGATCAAAAAAGACAAAGAAGGACATTACATAATGTTAAAGAGATCAATGCAACAAGAAGAGCTAGCTATGCTAAATATATATGCACCCAATACAGGAGCACCCAGATTCGTAAAGCAAGTCTTTAGAGACCTACAAAGACACTTACACTCCCACGCAATAATAGTGGGAGACTTTAACACCCCACTGTCAATATCAGACAGATCAATGAGACAGAAAATTAACAAGGATATTCAGGACTTGAACTCAGCTCTGGACCAACAGGACCTAATAGACATCTACCGAACTCTCCACCCCCAAGCAACAGAATATACATTCTTCTCAGCACCACATGGCACTTGTCCTAAAATTGACCACATAATTGGAAGTAAAACACTCCTCAGCAAATGCAAAAGAATAGAAATCATAACGTCCCTCAGACCACAGTGCAATCAAATTAGAACTCAGGATTAAGAAACTCAGAACTGCACAACTACATGGAAACTGAACAACCTTCTCCTGAATGACTACTGGGTAAATAACGAAATTAAGGCAGAAATAAATAAGTTCTTTGAAACCAGTGAGAACAAAGACACGACATACCAGAATCTCTGGGACGCAGCCAAAGCAGTGTTTAGAGGGAAATTTATAGCACTAAATGCCCACAGGAGAAAGCAGGAAAGATCTAAAATCGACACCCTAACATCACAGTTAAAAGAACTAGAGAAGCAAGAGCAAACAAATTCAAAAGCTAGCAGACAAGAAATAATTAAGATCAGAGCAGAACTAAAGGAGATAGAGACATGAAAAACCCTTCAAAAAATCAGTGAATCCAGGAGCTGTTTTTTGAAAAGATTAAGAAAATAGACTGCTAGCTTGACTAACAAAGAAGAAAAGAGAGAAGAATCAAATAGACACAATAAAAAATGATAAAGGGGATATCACCACTGATCCCAAAGAAATAGAAACTGCCATCAGAGAATACTATAAACAACTCTACGCAAATAAACTAGAAAATCTAGAAGAAATGGATACATTCCTGAACACATACACCCTCCCAAGACTAAACGAGGGAAAAGTTGAATCCCTGAACAGACTAATAACGAGTTCTGAAATTGAGGCAGTAATTGATAGCCTATCAACCAAAAAAAAGCCCAGGCCCAGACAGATTCACAGCCGAATTCTACCAGAGGTACAAAGAGGAGCTGGTACCATTCCTTCTGAAACAATTCCAAACGACAGAAAAAGAGGGACTTCCCCCTAACTCATTTGATGAGGCCAGCATCATCCTGACACCAAAACCTGGCAGAGACACAACAAAAAAAGAAAATTTCAGGCCAATATCCTTGATAAGCATCGATGCGAGAATCCTCAATAAAATACTGGCACACCGAATCCAGCAGCACATCTAAAAGCTTATCCACCACAATCGAGTTGGCTTCATCCCTGGGATGCAAGATGGGTTCAACATAACGGAAATCAATAAACGTAATCCATCACATAAACAGAACCAATGACAAAAACACATGATTATCTCAATAGATGCAGAAAAGGCCTTCAATAAAATTCAACAGCTCTTCATGCTAAAAACTCTAAATAAACTAGGTATTGGTGGAACTTATCTCAAGATAATAAGAGCTATGTATGACAGACCCACAGCCAATATCATACTGAATGGGAAAAAGCTGGAACCATTCCCTTTGAAAACTGGCACAAGACAAGGATGCCCTCTCTCACCACTCCTATTCAACCTAATATGGAAGTTTTGGCCAGGGCAATCAGACAAGAGAAAGAAATAAAGGGTATTCAAGTAGGAAGAGAGAAAGTCAAATTATCTCTGTTTGCAGATGACATGATTGTATATTTAGAAAGCCCCATCGTCTCAGCCCCAAATCTCCTTAAGCTGATAAGCAACTTCAGCAAAGTCTCAGGATACAAAATCAGTGTGCAAAAATCACAAGCATTCCTATACATCAATAATAGACTGTGCAAAAATTACAAGCACTCCTATACATAATAATAGACAAACTCATGAGAGCCAAATAACGAGTGAACTCCCATTCACAATTGCTACAAAGAGAATAAAATACCTAGGAATCCAACTTACAAGGGATGTGAAGGACCTCTTCAAGAACTACAAACCACTGCTCAAGGAAATAAGAGAGGACACAAATGGAAAACATTCCATGCTCATGGATAGGAAGAGTCAATATAGTGAAAATGGCCATATTGCTGAAAGTAATTTATAGATTCAATACTATCCCCATCAAGCTACCATTGACTTTCTTCACAGAATTAGAAAAAACTACTTTAAATTTCATATGGAGCCAAAAAAGAGCCCATATAACCAAGACAGCCCCAAGCAAAAAGAACAAAGCTGGAGGCATCTTGCTACCTGACTTCAAACTATACTACAAGGCTACAGTAACCAAAACAGCATGATACCAAAACAGATATATAGACCAATGGAACAGAACAGAGGCCTCAGAAATAACGCCACACATCTGCAACCATCTGATCTTTGAGAAACCTGACAAAAACAAACAATGGGGAAAGGATTCCCTATTTAATAAATGGTGTCGGGAAAACTGGCTAGCCATATGCAGAAAACTGAAACTGGACCCCTTCCTTATACCTTATACAAAAATTAATTGAAGATGGATTAAAGACTTAAACGTAAGACCTAAAACCATAAAAACCCTAGAAGAAAACCTAGGCAATACCATTCAGGAGATAGGTATGGGCAAAGACTTCATGACTAAAACACCAAAGGCAAAGGCAACAAAAGCCAAAATTGACAAATGGGATCTAATTAAACTAAAGAGCTTCTGCACAGCAAAAGAAACTATCATCAGAGTGAACAGGCAACCTACAGAATGGGAGAAAATTTTTGCAATCTATCCATCTGACAAAGGACTAATACCCAGAATCTACAAAGACCAAATTTACAAGAAAAAAAGCAAACAACCCCATCAAAAAGTGGGCAAAGGATATGAACAGACACTTCTCAAAAGAAGACATTTATGCAGCCAAAAAACATGAAAAAAAGTTAATCATCACTGGTCATTAGAGAAATGCAAGTCAAAACCACAATGAGATACCATCTCCCACCAGTTAGAACGGTGATCATTAAAAAGGCAGGAAACAACAGATGCTGGAGAGGATGTGGAGAAATAGGAACGCTTTTACACTGTTGGTAGGAGTGTAAATAAGTTCAATCATTGTGGAAGACAGTGGGGTGACTCAAGGTTCTAGAACCAGAAATACCATTTGACCCAGCAATCCCATTACTGGGTGTATACCCAAAGGATTATAAATCATTCTGCTGTAAAGACACATGCACACATATGTTTATTGCAGCACTACTCACAATAGCAAAGACTTGGAACCAACCCAAATGCCCATCGATGATAGACTGGATAAAGAAAATGTGGCACATATACACCATGGAATACTGTGCAGCCATAGAAACAAATGAGTTCATGTCCTTTGCAGGGACATGATGAGGCTGGAAACCACCATTCTCAGCAAACTATCACAGGAACAAAACCAAACATTGCATGTTTTCACTCATAAGTGGGAGTTGAACAGTTAGAACACATGAACACAGGGAGGGGAACATCGCATACTGGGGCCTGTTGGGAGGGTGGGGGGCTAGGGGAGGGACAGCATTAGGAGAAATACCTAATGTAGATGACGGCTTGATGGGTGCGGCAAACCACCATGGCACGTGTGTACCTGTGTAACAAACCTACATGTTCTGCACATGTATCCCAGAACTTAAAGTATAAAAACAAACAAAAAAACCAGAAGGCCGGGCGTGGTGGCTCACACCTGTAATCCCAGCATTTTGGGATGCTGAGGTGGGTAGATCACGAGATCAGGAGTTCAAACCAGCCTGGCCAAGATGGTGAAACCCCGTCTCTACTAAAAATAGAAAAATTAGCCGGGCATGGTGGTGGGCGCCTGTAATCCCAGCTACTCAGGAGGCTGAGGCAGAGAATTGCTGGAACCCAGGAGGCGGAGGTTGCAGTTGACCGAGATTGCGCCATTGCACTCCAGCCTGGGCAACAGGGCGAAACTCCGTCTCAAAAAAAAAAAATGTGGTACATATACTCCGTGGAATACTACCACCTGTAAAAATGAATGCAGTTGTGTCCTTTGAGCAGCATGGATGCAGGGAGGCCATTATTCTAAGTGAATTAATGCAGTAACAGAAAACCAAATACCACATACTCTCACTTACAAGTAGGAACTAATCATTGAGTACACATGGACACAAGGGAGCAACAGACACCGGGACCTGCTTGAGGGTGGAGAGTGGGAGGAGAGTAAGGATTGAAAAACTGCCTTTCAGGTATTACGCTGATTACTTGGGTGATGGAATTATCTGTACATCAAACCCCTGTGAAACCTGCACATGGACCCCTTGAACCTAAAATAAAAGTTAGAAAAAAGGGCAAAAATAATAACAAGCACATTACAAAATAATATGTGCAGATGATCAGTAAACACCAGAAAGGGTACTCAGAATCTTTTTTATCTTATTTTTTTGAGACAGTTTCTCCCTCTGTCATCCAAGCTGCAGTACAGTGGCACCATCTTGGCTCATGGCAACCTCTGCTTCCTGGGCTCAAGCAATCCTTCTACCTTAACCTCCCAAGTAGCTGGGACTACAGGCGCATACCACCACACTTGGCTAAGTTTTTTGTGTTTTTGTAGAGACTAGGTTTCACTATGTTGCTTAGGCTGGTCTTGAACTCCTGGGCTTAAATGATCCACCTGCCTTGGCCTCCCAAAGTGCTGAGATTATAGACATAAGCCACTGTGCCCAGCCTCTGAAAATCTTTAAATATCAGAAAAATACAAATTTATACCATAATGAGATAGAATAGTGCATACCTACTGGAATAAGCAATAAAAAGTCTGATTATACCAAATGTGGGAACTGATGTGGAATAAGTAGAACTCTCATATCTTGAAAATGTGATTGTAAGGTGGAAACAGTTTGGCAGTTTCTTAAAAATTTAAGTGCATATCTATACTTTAATCCAGTGATTTCATTTTGTATATTTATTCAAGAGAAATGTAGATACCTGTCCACAGAAAGATTTATACGTGTCTTAACTTCATTTATAAAAGCCTATAATTACGTAATCCAAGTGTCCACCAATAAACAAGTTGTGTATTTTCATACAAGAGAATACTACTCAGCAGTGTGAAGGAGCAAACTATTGATACAATACTTAGAAAAGTTATGTTGATAAAAAGAAGCAAGACACAAAAGTGTCTTTGATTCCATTAAGTCAAATTCTGTAAAACTGATCTATAGTGGGAAAGATAAGATCAATGTTTGAGGTGGAGGTTGGGAGAGATTACCTGGAGAGGGATATAAGAGAGCTTTTGGGGGTGAGGAAACTGTTTTATATCCTGTTTGAGGAGATTACACTTTGTGTATACATTTGTCAAAGCTTATCAAATTGTACACATCAGTGGCTGCATTTTATTATATGTAAATTACTTTTCACTAAGATTGATTAAAGATTTGGTTGGAAGGAATCAAATTGGTATAGCAGTCACTAAACTAAATGCAAACAGATTATATATTGTGGCAGTAAAATACTGTCAGGTTAGTTTAAGAAACAAAACCTAACCAAGTCCTGTTTCGAAGAAGCAAACTATTGAAAACTTGATAAGTAAAGCTGAAAATAAAAGAGTTGAATAAAGATGTAAGATACAGGAAAATAACCAAAAGATCAATAATTATAATAATATTAGACAAGGTGAAATTTAAATATCAAACTAGGTAAGTGGATTGTTAACATCATAAAAGGCATATTTTATGAAAATCCAATAGCCATAATCTTGTATGGCTAAAAAGCTTAACACATAAAGCAAAAATAATCTGAGTAGTGTGGTAGAGCAGGCATGGTATGAGATTTATATATATATATAATATATATATTAAAAAATTATATATTATATATATATGTTTTTTTCTTTTGGAGACAGAGTTTTGCTCTTTCTCCCAGGCTGGAGTGAAGTGGTGCGATCTCAGCTCACTGCAGCCTCTGCCCCACAGGTTCAAGCGATTCTCCTCCCTCAGCCTCCCGAGTAGCTGGGATTATAGGCACTTGCCACCATGCCTGGCTAATTTTTTTTTCTTTTTTTTTTTTGTATTTTTAGTAGAGATGGGTTTTTGCCACGTTGGCTAGGCTGGTCTCAAACTCCCGACCTCGTGATCCACCCACCTCAGCCTCCCAAAGTGCTGGGGATTACAGGTGTGAGCCACTACGCCTGGCCAGGATTTCAGTACATGTTTATCAGAATTAGGTCTAGTAGATGAAAATACGAGTATAAGGAATTGAATAGTGCATTTAATAATCTTAATCATATGTGTATAGAAATAGTGTTTTAAATTCCTGGAATAGATCTTTTTTTAATGTCCAAGGAACTGTGGTCAAAGTTTAATGTCCAAGGTACTTGACCATAAAGAAAATCTTAACAGATGAGAAAAGTTGAGATTTTATAGGCTGCGTTGTCTGGTAATAATACTGGTAAAGTAGAAAGAAATAACTATGAGACGAGTCCTTTGAAACCTGCCTCCTGTTCCCCTATTCTCCCTATATTTGTTTCCACTGCAGAATTACCTCAGTATTCTTGAACTAAGAAATTGGTGGTGGCAAGGTCTTTATTCTTCATATTTTAGCCTTACATTATTGAAATGCCTTTCAGTTTGATGCCTTTGTGTGACTGCCAGTGAACTAGGTTTTCCTAGTGTACAGGTGTTGCCCATGCCCACACCTAGATTATCAATGATACTGTAAAACTTGACCTGAAATTTTAGGTTGATATTCCTGGCCTTTCTCTTTCAAATTCCTTTAAACTTTTAGTAACCACTTGTTGGCCATTTATTAGAACACAGGGAATTTTGAATTAAAAACTCACATAATTTAAAAGAAACAGGAACACCTAGTGCTGAGAGGATGTGGGGAATAGCATATTCTCATACATTGCTGGTGCAAATGTGAATTGTTACAGCCTTTTGGAAAATAATTTGACAGCTTGGTTAACAATTAAAATTCATATTCCTTTTGGCCTAGTATACCTCCTCCTAAGATTTCTACTCTTAGACATAAAAGCCCAAGTAAGGCCATATGTATAGGGATATTTATTGCAGTGATGTGCATATTGTCAGTCAACTGAAAACAAAATGAACATTAGTAGGGAAAGGCAGGAAAAAGTGATACCTCCATAGGTGGGATACTATGCTACATAAAGAAAAAATAAATTAGACTAATACCAGATTAGTTTGAGAAATTTCCGTAAGGTTTTGTTGAGTGAGCAAAGAAAGATGCAGAAAAGTATATAATAATTTGTGTAACCAAAAAATAATTTAAGAGAACCATGCCTATATCATAGGCTCATGAGTATGAAGAAAAGTATTTAAGAATTCCTGGTAGGTGGTTAAATGTTTACCTTGGTCAAGGGTGGGTCAGAGTAACTGGGGAAGTGGGTTAAAACAACAACAACAACAACAACAACAAGATTCGTCTGTGATCATATCTATGCATTATCTGTAAAATTATATAAATATGTATGTTTAAAGATACTAAGTAAACATTTAAAATAAAACTGACCTGTTTCCCAGCCTGGACAACATAGCAAGACTCATCTCTAAAAAACAAAATTAATTAAAATAAATTAGCTAGGCATAGTGGTGTGTGCCTGTAGTCTCAGCTACTCCAGAGGCTTTGGTAGGAGGATCACCTAAGCCCAGGAGTTTGAGGCTGGAGTGAGCCATTGAGCTTGCCACTGCACTCCAGCCTGGGTGTCAGTGTGAGATTCTGTCTCAAAAACAAAAAACAAAAAACACAAATATTTGTTTTATAAAACTGATGCTGATTTGCAAACCTAAGTGTTCACGTGAAGTCCACTGAAACTCTTAGGAGCAGAAGCAGCATAGTGGAGAGCCATAAAACCTTTTATATTAGGCCCCAAGACAAAGAATCAAGGAAGTGTGTACACACACACGGAATAAAACAATAACCAGTGGGAAATTTACCTAAGAAACTAGAAGCCTAGAGTAAGGTGGTTTTTGTGGGTGGTTGATACTGTTTTTCAGGGACTTTGCATTCCTTTGATTTGTCATTCTTGGTGTTGGCTTTGTGTTCAGGCATAGCACAGGCGTTGTGTTCAGGCTGTAGTACTTCCAGCTGTAAAATCCAGCTATAGCAAAGTCCAGATAGAGAAGAATGGTCTCTTCTTGGATGTTTATCATAGGTTGTTTTTTAAAAAGCATTTGCTAAGGCTGAGTTTGGGTTACAACTTGATTATAGTATTGTAGAGGAAGGTGTTATTGGAAGGAAAAGCATAATTAGGCAAAGGAAGAAGTTGAGCTCCAATGCAGGCCTGACAAAGGGGAACTGTGGGGGCAGGATTGCTTATTTGAGTTGTCCCATGTTGGATTGAAATGCTTGGGCCTTTATACTCTTTTTTTTTTTGAGACAGAGTCTCACTCTGTCGCCCAGGCTGGAGTGCAGTGGCGCGATCTTGGCTCACTGCAAGCTCTGCCTCCTGGGTTCACGCTATTCTCCTGCCTCAACCTCCCGAGTAGCTGGGACTACAGGCGCCCACCACCACGCCCAGCTAATTTTTTGTAATTTTAGTAGAGACGGGGTTTCACTGTGTTAGCCAGGATGGTCTCGATCTCCTGACCTCGTGATCCACCCGCCTTGGCCTCCCAAAGTGCTGGGATTACAGGCGTGAGCCACCACGCCCAGCCTATGGTATGGGCCTCTTCATGGTGTGGGCTGCCATGGGAAGGGCATGACCTGTAGCAAGGCAGCCCCTGAAGGAATTGATGTTCTGCTGACCACATTCCCTGCTGCTGCTGGCAGCAAGTCCTTCCTTGAAGAGGAGATCTAGGTGGCATGTCTCCCTGTCCACACACTTTCCTAAGAATAAGAAAATATTTCCTGGAAATCATCCATCAGATGTGCCCTCACATCTAAGTATTAGATTACATTCTGTGTCAGAGATTCATGGTTACACATCATAGCCTTTTTCTACTTCTCTAGTAAAAAGAATTCTGATTTTTTGATGGGTACATGATCATCTGGGATAACGGCTGCATTTTTCAGCCTTCCTCTACTTGTAGACATGTCAGTAACTTCTGGCTAATCGAATGTAAGTTGAATTTTCATGTGTGACTTAACAGAGGGAGAGAGGGTGTACCCCCCCGTTTTCTTTTCCTCCTTCCTGCTGGGTAGAATTTGGGTATAATAGCTGGAGCTTGAGCCGCTATCTTGGATTATGAGGTAGAAGCCACATGTTGGGGATGACAGAGCAATAGTATAGAACAGCATTAGGTCCCTGATGATCATGGAAATGCATTGCATGCTCTGGATTGCTTATCTTTGGGTTTTTTTTATCTTGGTGGTTAGTCCATTACTATTTAGGTTTTTCTGACAGTTGCATTAAAGCCTAATCTTTTTTCTACATCTATATCTATATATGATGTATATCTATATCTATATAGATACATATTCTTTTTTAAAAATAGATATGAGGGTGTTGCTGTGTTGGCCAGCCTGATCTTGAACTCATGGCCTCAAGCAGTCCTCCTGCCTCAGCCTCCAAACTGCTGTGATTTCAGGCAAGAGCCACCATGCCTGGTCCACACCTAATTTTAATTGATACAGATTTCTAATCAGTCAGTGGCAAGGGGCATGGGAAAACATGATTGGCTTCGACTAACATTTTGGGGTGGAATGGATTTTGGGGAGTAGGGCATGGATACATCTCTATCAGGCAAGTACAGCAGAGGAAGAGAAAGGCAAGAACATCAGGGAGTTTGCAGGATATGATTCTCGTGATGGATTATGGAGTCTTAACTAGGTATGTGAGAAAATGAAATGTGTGGATGGTAGGTGGTGAACAGTGAAGAAATGATAGTTCAATGGATTGGTGGTCTCCATGGGGCCAAAGTCTCATTGGAAAGGGGGAATAAACTGGAGAGATGAGATAGTAGTCAGAGGTCAGGGTGCTTTTTTTGTGGTAATGTTGTTACTGGTAATAGCAAGGGCCAGAGAAGGGGATGGCTAAAGAGGGGTGGAGGAAAAGATAGTTAATGGTGAGGTTAAGAAATGGAGAGACTGGATTTTGGATGGAACATCTTAGATGTTGATGCAGATGAGTGGAAGAGAGTGAACGATTTGTTAATATCTTTAGTGCATTAGGAGTAGCTGGGAGATGACTCAGAAGGTAAGGGAGGCAGATCCAGAAGCGAGCATGTGTTCAGAGTGGCTGATGTTAATGAAAGAGGGAAGAAAAATATCTGGAAACAGCCATGATGAAGGAAATAGCGTCCTTCTTAAATATTAAACATTTTTATATAGTAACAGATACTTGCTGGTGGCAGTGCTCATGCCTGTAAACCCAGCATTTTGGGAGGCCAAGATAGGAGGATTGCTTGAGGCCAGAAGTTCAAGCGTGGGCAACATCGTGAGACTCTGTTTCTACAAAAAATAAATTTAAGAAATTTATCGCTGGGTGTGAGGGCTCAAGCCTGTAATTCTGGTGCTTTGGGAAGCCGAGATGGGAGGATCTTTTGAGGCCAGGAATTTGAGACCAGCGTGGGCAACATAGCGAGACCTGTCTTTACCAAAAGGAAAAAGGATGACATAAAATTAAGATAAGATTTAGGTATGTTTTGTTCATTCCTGTTGGTTTTAATATTTTTCTGTCTTCTTTTTTAATGTATGCAATAAGTATTTGTTTCATCTAAATTTATGCAATCTGAATATAACTAGTCATTTTCTACTGGTTATAGTGTTTGTTAATGTACCCATTATGTTTAATTTGTATTATATTAAGAATTAAGAAATATTAATATATGAAAATATATAAAATATATAAAAATATATGAAATTAATATAGCAGACTTAAGTTTTCTTTCTTGATTTAAATTACAGACTAACTGGATCTTCTGGGTTTGTGACAGATGGACCTGGAAATTATAAATACAAAACGAAGTGCACGTGGCTCATTGAAGGACAGTAAGTAGAAATGGCTGACTTAATTTTTGTTTTTTTAGCATAGAAGTCAGTGTGACATTAGTTTTCCCACAAGTAAAATTAACAATCTGTAGCATAAAGTTCTTAAAACATTACTTGATAACCTTTCATTTGACAAGTGAATTTTATCTTAGCCTTCATTAATTTAAAAGTTTCATGTTGATTTAATGCTGCAAATGAATTGTACACACCACAAATTTGTGTATTTCCAACTGTAATAGTTCAGAAACGGTTACACACACACACACACACACACACACACACACACACACATATATATTTATTTATTTTTATGGGACAGAGTTTTGCTCTTGTCACCCAGGCTGGAGTGCAGTGGCGTGATCTCCGCTCACTGCAACCTCCGCCTCCCAGGTTCAAGCGATTCTCCTGACTCAGCTCCTGAGCAGCTAGGATTACAGGTGCATGCCACCACGCCAGGCTAATTTTGTATTTTTAGTAGAGAAGGGGTTTCACCATGTTAACCAGGATGGTCTCGAACTCCTGACCTCAAGTGATCCGCTCGCCTCAGCCTTCCAAAGTGCTGGGATTACAGGTGTGAGCCACTGCGCCCAGCCACGGTTCCATATTTTTAATGGTTTGCTTAAAGCATTAGAAAATTGCAATATTGTGTTATTTTTCTAAGTATCTATTTTTGTTGTGGATAAGAAAATTGTAATAACTGTTATTGCCTAAATGATCCCTTCTCTGGACCCACTGTGTCCCTCTGGCTGTTGGCCTTTTTTCTCCTTGTCTTCATGGGAGACTTTTAAAGCAGTACTTCTCAGACTTTTTTGGTCTCAGGACCTCTTTACACTTTTAAACTTTGAGGATTCCAAATAAGTTTATTTATTATTTATTTATTTATTTATTTTGAGATGTCATCTCGCTCTGTGGCCCAGGCTGGAGTGCAGTGGTGTGATCTTGGCTCACTGCAACGTCTGCCTCCTGGGTTCAAGCGATTCTCCTGCCTCAGCCTTCCAAGTAGCTGGGATTACAGGCATGTGCCACCATGCCCAGCTAAGTTTTTGTATCTTGTAGTAGAGACAGGGTTTCACCATGTTGGCCAGGCTGGTCTCGAACTCCTGACCTCAAGTGATCCGCCTGCCTTGGCCACACAAAGTGCTGGGATTACAGGAGTGAGCCACTGCACCCGGCCCCAAATAAGTTTATGTTTTTCTATTTGTGTTCACCATATTAGAACTTACAACCAAGAAATATTATTTATTCATTTAAAAGCAACAATTATAAGCCATGTTAGTACAAATGATATTTTAATGAAAAAAACCCTATATTTAAAAAATTGTAGTGAAAAAATGGCATTGTTTTACATTTTTGCAAATCTCTTTAATGTGTAGCTTAATAAAAGACAGCTGGATTGTCATATCTTCTGCATTCACTTTGTTGCAGTATGTTATTGTGGTTGAAGCGTGTCAAGAAGATGAGGCCTCACTTGAATATGAAGTAGGAAAAAAGAGATTTTAATAGTACAGTATTTTAAAATTATTGTATATAGTCTTCTTTGATACCATATCAAAACTTAACAAGTAGTAATTTCTTAAAAGTAAATTGCAGTATGGAATCTGAAACTATGTTAAGGAACTTTTGGTACTTGTTAAATTAAAATCCATTGGTTTTCTTGCACTGAATGGATCTTTTGCCCATCCATATTTTGGTAACATGATATATAGGTCATTTGGAAAACAACAGGTCATTGAATTATGCAGATCTTCCATATGTTGATATATTTATTCCATTACATAATATTTTAAAAATCACATTGGTTAGTATCCCCATCAATCTCCTCAAAAAGTTCTAAGTATGGCAGTTAACAAATTTTCCAAAATTCTAATTACTACTTGAAAGCTTGTATTTTATCTTTGGCAGCAAATACTGTCAGTTGTTTTCTTTGAAGTGGCAGGCTTGCTTTCCTCATTTTTAAGAAAATGTCTGCCAGATATCCAACTCTGAATAACCGTAGTTTATTGATTGTTCTTTCAAGTAAACATGGTAAATGGTGTTCTAAGAAAAAAGTAGCTAGTTCAGCTAGCAACTTAAACAGTTGCAAAAGTGGTTTTCATTGAGAAAACCACTGTGCTTCTATTAAGCAAAAGAAGTGTTTTATATATTTTTTTCTTGTTTTTTTTTTTACATTTTTTTATTTTATTTTTTTATTATACTTCAAGTTCTAGGGTACATGTGCACAACGTGCAGGTTTGTTACATATGTATACATGTGCCATGTTGGTGTGCTGCACCCATTAACTCATCATTTACATTAGGTATATCCCCTAATGCTATCCCTCCCCACTCCCCCCACCCCACGACAAACCCCGGTGTGTGATGTTCCCCTTCCTATGTCCAAGTGTTCTCATTGTCCTATTCCCACCTATAAGTGAGAACATGTGGTGTTTGGTTTTCTGTCCCTGCAATAGTTTGCTGAGAATGATGGTTTCCAGCTTCATCCATGTCCCTACAAAGGACATGAACTCATCCTTTTTTATGGCTGCATAGTATTCCATGGTGTATATGTGCCTCATTTTCTTTATTTTATTTTATTTTATTTTATTTTTTTATTATTATTTTTTTCATTTCTTTTTTTTATTTTTTAATTTTTTTATTATACTTTAAGTTTTAGGGTACATGTGCACATTGTGCAGGTTAGTTACATATGTATACATGTGCCATGCTGGTGCACTGCACCCACTAACTCGTCATCTAGCATTAGGTATATCTCCCAATGCTATCCCTCCCCCCTCCCCCCACCTATTTACTCTCCATCTTGTCAGAATATTAAAGAGATGTCTACTAACTGGTGAGGATTTAATAACATTAGAAGTTTTTAACTGCTTAATCAAGATATCCTTAAATGAAACTGGCAGCTTTTCTTTTTTCTATGAGTGGTTCGTGGTGAAGAATAGCAGTGATCACTAGTACCATTTGCTGCTGCTGTCTTGATTTGTTCTAAGATGCCCACAGTTTCACCCACCATTTCTCCTTGAACCATTAGTAAATGCCAGCATGGTTATAAAATATATGCTATCTTAGTTTTACTGTGAATATAGTTTTGACCTCCTGGGACCTCCCATAAGGGTCTCAGGGCCTGTAGCATTTTGTGGACTTCATTTTGAGAACTGCTGCTCTAAGGAGCTCTGCTGTGTCCTATCAGTTCATTGCCACCTGACACCCTCCTCCACTGTTTTTCTGAATGTGCTCTCAATGGTTGTTCCTCCTCAGTGTAAGTGAAAAACTAAGCAACAAACTCTCATTCCCCCTTTTCCTTATTCCCTACATTTAGCCTGTCAGTAAGTTCTGTCAGTTTTCCCTTTGGAATGTCTCCCCAATCCATCACCAGACTGCTTTTCACCTCCATCTCTACAGCTGGGAGACCCACCATCGTCTCTCTCCTGGGCCACTTAATAGCCTTGAAATTGGCCTCCTGAGTTCTGCTTTTGCCCCTTGCCCACCTCCCACTTCTCATCTCTTAAGGTTTTCTCTGTTTGCTGTGTTTCAGATATGCTGATTTTCTTCATGTTGCTTGGACACATCAGCCTCTTTCTCCCTTAAGACTGTGCTGTTCCCTCCGTCTGAAACGTTTTTCCCAGCACTTTTCACATGGCTTGTCTCTTGTCATTCTCACATCTCCAAAGCTTACTGGCCTATCTCCCTACGACTTTTTGCACTGCCACATCACCTTCTTTTAATTTCTTCACAGTACTCATCACCATCTGAGTTTACTTGTTTATGTATTTATTTAGTTGTCAACCTAGAGATGTTAGAAAAGTGTGGGGTATAGGAAAGTTCTAAACTGGAGAAATAGAATTAGGCATCAGCAGGATATAATGATGTTGATATTCCCAGAGCTTTCTGAGTGGAGTGTTGGGCTGAAGCCAGGCTAGAGAGTGAAGGGGTGAGTGAGATAGAGTCACTGGAGGAAGCAAAGTCTTCTGCGAAGTTTTACCTTTTTAGGAGGAGAAAGGGTAGGGCAGGTATTTGGTAGAGGGAGAGTTGGGATTTGAGGCTTTTTGTTTTTATTTTTGTAAAATATGTGATACTTAAGCAGATTTGAATGTGGATGCAAAAGTTCCAGATGAGAGGGAGATGTCAAATACTTGAGAAACAGAAAGAGAAACAGAAAGAGAATTTTGGAAAATGGGAATTTTAGGGTTTTTTTATCTGGTTGCTGAGCATAAGCAGGGAGGTGGGACTGGGTGGTTTGAAATAGTCGTTGAGAGTAGCAGTTGTGGAGAGGGAGAGAGAATTGGTAGGACTGCTGGCAGAATCTAAGTGCCATTTGCAGTTGGAGAGCAGAGACCATTGCTGGAACCAGTCTACCCAGTGGTGTGGTATAGAAGTTTGGCTTTCTTCAATACAGCTTAGTTTTGTTTTTTTTTTCCCTCCACCGCCCCCTCCCACTTTTTTTTTCCTGGTTCAATCTTAGAGCAGATAACTGGTTTCCTGTACAACAGAGCTTTTGCCAGCCAGTGTCCTGAAAAATCAGAGGGGCTGGCAAATTTAGAGGATTGGCAGGCATGTTTATGAAATGACGTAGTGTGGAATCTGAAGTTGAATGAGGAAGTGCAGAAATGGAAGGGCTAATGGGTTGGTTCAGAAGCTGTTAAAGAGTGGCCACTGAATGGACTGTAAGGCCCAGAATCATGGACCACATCAGTTTTGTTTCCCATTGCATGTTTAGTAGTCTCTTGTACTTGGAGAATACTAAATAAATCTTTGACAAATGAAGGAATACTGGTGGGGCAGTTGTTAGACTGTGTTACATATTATTAATTTAAAAATCTGAATTTTTATATTCTCAAATGTCTGATAGTTGTGATAACTTTATTATAAATTACTTTTTTTATTCTTTTCAGGCCAAATAGAATAATGAGACTTCGTTTCAATCATTTTGCTACAGAGTGTAGTTGGGACCATTTATATGTTTATGATGGGGACTCAATTTATGCACCGCTAGTTGCTGCATTTAGGTAAGCTCAGTCTTACAAGCCTTCTTTCATCGTTTGATTTCTAAATTTAAACATATCTTCTGGATTGCATTCTTACTGGGTTCACCTTTATTATCACTTAACACATTTATTTAATGGAAAGAATACTAGTTCTTCAGTCCCATCACTTGTGTGTTAGTGCTAACTTGGTTTCTGTAGCCCTGGGTAAGTTTCTAGGCATAGTACTTGACTTCTCTTTTCAGTGCCCTGATCTGTAAAATTGTGATAGTTCTATTAAGTTCACCTGCTCCTTGTGGTGGTGGTGAAGTTTATCATTACAAAATGTTTTGAGAGTGATATATTGAATGATACTATTTCTGTGAAAAATTTAAATCAGGAATAATATCCATCATGTTCCTTGTGTATTGCCCACTGCATAGGCCTTCAGGAGTTATTTGTTGAATTCAAATATAATTGTGTGCGTGTGTGTGTGTGTATGTGCATCATGAGTGAGGGAAACTTTTTGGAACAGTACATATAAAATGAACAGTGGCTACCTGTGGAGAAATGAGGAACATACTTATTATATATATTTTTTTTCAATAAGTACATTTACATTAGTAGTTAAACAGAAGCAGTTTAACACCAAATATATGGACTGTTCTGAATTGTTTGGGTGTTTTACTTTTGATTAGCAGCAAGTAGCTGTGTTGTTTATTATGTTTTTGGCCACATTGGAATTCAAAACTATCTCTAGTTTTCTTCCTTTTACATGATAGAGGATTTTTTTTTTTTTTTTTTTGAGACGGAGTCTCGCTCTGTCGCCCAGGCTGGAATGCAGTGGCGCGATCTCGGCTCACTGCAAGCTCCGCCTCCCGGGTTCACGCCATTCTCCTGCCTCAGCCTCCCGAGTAGCTGGGACTACAGGCGCCCGCTACCACGCCCGGCTAATTTTTTGTATTTTTAGTAGAGACGGGGTTTCACCGTGTTAGCCAGGATGGTCTCGATCTCCTGACCTCGTGATCCGCCCGCCTCGGCCTCCCAAAGTGCTGGGATTACAGGCGTGAGCCACCGCGCCCGGCCTAGAGGATTTTAAGATACAGTCATGTGTCACTTAGCAGCAGGAATAGGTTTTGAGAAATGTGTTATTAGATGATTTCATCATTATGTAAACATTATAGGGTATATTCATACAAATAGATGGTATAGCCTACTGTACACCCTGCTTATATGGTACAGCCTATTGTACCTAGGCCACAAATCTGTACAGCATCTTACTGTACTGAATACTGTAGGTAATTGTAACCCAATGGTAAGTATTTGTATATCTAAACATATCTATACATGGAAAGGTACAGAAAAAATACAGTATTACAATCTCATGCAACCTCTGTCATATATGTGGTCCATTGTTGACCATATGTCATTATGTGGTGTATGACTGTATATTTTCCTAAAATGCATTTCCCCTTAGGAAACCATAGTTTTCAGTTTTTCACCTGCAACTGGCTTTCTAAATTTCTTTGTCTCAAACATTTTATTTCCTTTACTTTAAAAAGAAATCAGTTCAACAAATATTTTTTGTGTTTCTCACATGGGGCTCATCTGGCTGATGTCCCATGTGGATGAGGGAGGTAACAGAGAGCAAACAGTACACAAGGACAGGAGATCAGGCGACTGTTGTGCCCTCGTGTTTTTCTACCCGCTTTGGCTTAGAAATCTCTCTGACATATCTTTGAACTGAGAACCAAGGCCATTTTCTGTGTTTAGAGGTTCACTTACAAGGCCAAAGAGCAGGGTGGATGGCTGTGCTGAGCATTTAAAATGGCATTGGCCAAGTGTTGGAGTGTATATGTTTATGCCAGCATTTGAAACATAACTTGTAGCAAAAAGCACCCCAGACCTTAATACAAGCCCCAAAACTAAGTGTGATGTTATCATAATAGTACTTGTTGGGGATTCACTTGTTACTGTGTTTGTTAATCAGAATTCACAGAGCTCTTGTTGTATGCCAGGCACTTTGAATCAGCTTATCAGGAGCCTTGTAGGAACATGAGCCAAGCAGGTATACATCACTCTGTGGTTCACCTGGACTGTGTATTTGATAAACAGTGGTAGCGGTGGTAGAGCAGAGAGAGTGGTTGAGAAAATTCTTCAAAAGAACATTATTCCTTTTAGAGTTTTTTTTTTTTTTTAGGAAAGTTATATGCTGGTGGGGCAGTTGTTAGACTGTGTGATCTAGAGGAACCCTTCCCCTTCCCCCTTCCACCTCCCCTTCCCCTTTCTCCTTCCCCTTCTCCCTTCCCCTTCCCCCTTCCCCCTTCCCCTTTTCCTTCCCTTCCCCTTCCCCTTCCCTTTTCCTTTTCTTTCTCCCCCAGGCTGGAGTGCAGAGGCAGGAACGTAGCTCACTGCAGCCTCAACCTCCTGGGCTCAAGAGATGCTCCCACCTCAGCCTCCCCAGTAGCTGGGACCACAAAAATGCAACACTATGCCCAGCTAATTTTTGTATTTTTTTTTTTTTTTTTTGTAGAGACGGGGTCTCACCATGTTGCCCGGGCTGGTCTTGAACTCCTGGGCTCAAGCAGTCCTCCCACCTTGGCCTCCCAAAGTGTTGGGATTACAGGTGTGAGCCACTGCACCCGGCCGAAGATTGCTTTTGACATACCTGTTTCCAGGTGGCCCTGATCTTGTCAGTACTTATTCCTTCTGCATTTCAAGGGATTCTGGTGTATATAACCAGTGAAAGCCTGATGATGGTTAACCCTTCATTTACATCTCCAATCAAATGTCACCTCTTCTAAGAGGCCTTCCTTTCACCCTTTCTAAAGTAGCACCTTCTGTTCTTTCCCTCTGCTCTCTTTCCCTTCATAGCATTTGTCTCTACCTGGCATTACGTATACACACACCTGTGTGGGGAGTATCTGGGCTTATCTGTTGTTTTTCTAATGTGAACTACATGAAGGCAGGGACATAGTCTTATTCACTGTTGTATTCCTGGTACCTAGAACAGTGACTCACATGTAGTAAGTGCTTAGTAAATATTTGTTAGTTGAATACATAGTAGAAAATGCATCACTGTTTTGTAACTCCTGGAGCACCAGAGTTTCAGAGTTCCTAGAGTTCTGTCTTCATATTAAAAATTGAAGGGCGAGGCGTGGTGGCTCACACCTGTAATCCCAGCACTTTGGGAGGCCGAGGTGGGCGGATTGCCTGAGGTTAGGAGTTCAAGACCAGTCTGGCCAACATGGTGAAACCCCGTCTCTACTAAAAATACAAAAAAAATCATCTGGGCATGGTGGGGTGCGCCTGTAATCCTAGCTACTGAGGAGGCTGAGGCAGGGGAATTGCTTAAACCAGGGAGGTGGAGGTTGCGGTGAGCCGAGATTGTGCCACTGCACTCCAGCCTAGGTGACAGAACAAGACTCGGTCTCAAGAAAAAAAAAAAAAATGAATGAAGGGCCAGGCACAGTGGCTCAGGCCTGTAACCCCAACACTTTGTGAGGCCGAGGCAGGAGAATTACTTGATCCCAGGAGTTCAAGACCAGCCTGGGCAACAGGGTGAGACCTCATCTGTACAAAAAGTCTTAAAAATTAACCAGCCATGGTGGTGTGTGCCTGTAGTCCCAGTCACTCAGGAGGCTGAGGTGGGAAGATTTCTTGAGCCCAGGAGGTCAAGACTGCAGTGAGCTGTGATCATGCCACTGCACTCTAGCTTGGGCTAGACCTTGGGTCTAGCTAGACCTTGGGTGAGACCTTGTCTCAAAACAAAGCAAAACAAAAGGAACGAAAATCCCTTCCCCTCCTCATTTTCATTCCTTGCTTATGGATTCTTCCAGCCATTTTTGTATGCATTTATATAGGTATGTGTAAGTGTACACATGTACGGTCCATTGTTTTGCAGCTTGCTTCTCCCCCATGCCCTTATCAGAATGCCTGTTGAGCTTCTTGTTAGTCCCGCAGACCTAGGTAATATGCAGTGACTCATGCAGTCAGATTTCTGGGCATGAGCATTTAGATGGGTTTCAACCTGTTGCCATCTGAACAGTGCTGTGGTTCGCATTCTTGTATATTGGTCATCGTGTACATGAGCAAGTATTTCTTCTACAAAGAAATAGAATTGCTAGGTCAGAGTGAATGAGCATGAGGTTGTGTGTCTGGGACAGATTGCGTAGGGCCTGGCAAGGATATAGGCTTTTACCAAATGTGGTGGTGGTGGTGGTGGTGGTGGTGAATCAATAATGGGGCAAAAATCATGGACATATGAAGAAATGCAACAGCAGGTAGACATAAGAAAAACAATTAACCTCAGGAGTAAAAAGAACTCAGAACCACAATTTAAAAATTGCTTTTTACTTATTAAATTAACAAAATTAAAATAGAACTAGTAGTCCTTGCTGTTGGCAGAGTGAAGTGGGATGGACCCTTCATTCTGTATTGATACGATTTCAAATCACATATCTCTTCTGGAAAGCAAGTTGGTATTATGGCTCTAGAGTCTTAAAGGCATCATTTAGACCCTTTTACTCAGTAAGGTTTTTTTTTTTTTTTTTACCAGTCACACAACAAACATTTAGAATCCGTCATGTGCTGGGTTGTGAGTGAGGTCTTAAGAAGAACCTAGGGAGCTTTTAATGATATAGAAAATGCGTTAAGTTTTATTTGTAAAATGGAATATACAATGTAAATAACATCAATTAGGCTAAGAAAATGCATCAGAATACTAACAGTGTTGGAGTTATGGGTGTTTGTTTAGCTTCTTCGTATTCTTATATAAATATTTTATATAAAATATCTTGGGCACAATGGCTCACGCCTGTAGTCCCTACATTTTGGGAGGCCGAGGTGGGTGGATCACCTGAGGTCAGGAGTTCAAGACCAGCCTGGCCTACATGATGAAATGCTGTCTCTACTAAAACTATAAAAAATTAGCTGGGCATGGTGGTGGGCACCTGTAATCCCAGCTACTCAGGAGGCTGATGCAGGAGAATCGCTTGAACCCCGGGACGCAGAGATTGTACTGAGATTGCACCACTGCACTCCAGCCTGGGCAACAAGAGCGAAACTCTGTCTCAAAAAAAAAAAAAAAAACAACAAAAACCTCATGTCTTTCAGCAATATATGTGTGGTATTCATCACTCATAAAATTTGTTACTTTATGTGATTGTGGAGGTTTATTTTTTCAAAGAAGCAGTATAAAAAGTTTTATAAGAAAAAGAATAGGGCCATTGATTTCAAATCTCATTAGAAATACAACTCAGAATAAAGGAAGCCTAGCAAAAGATTCAGATCTGTTCCTCAAGGATCCAGAACTGATAGGGTAGCACTGTGTGTTTATCACAGGAATTTGCCTGTCTTCCTGGATGTGGTTTTTAAATTTTAAGGACGGATTTGTTTTTAATTTCTGTCTGCTACAATTTGACATGTCTGTGCTTGTGCTTCCCTCTATAAGAAGTGTGTTTTCATTTCAGTGGCCTCATTGTTCCTGAGAGAGATGGCAATGAGACTGTCCCTGAGGTTGTTGCCACATCAGGTTATGCCTTGCTGCATTTTTTTAGTGATGCTGCTTATAATTTGACTGGATTTAATATTACTTACAGGTAAGATACTTAAGTCTAGTATTTGTGATTTCATTCAGGAGACTATCTACTATGTTTTAACAACAATAATGGCTAACATAGATTGAGAGCCAGGCATAGCGTCAGGCAGTTTACATGGATTTTCTCATTTAAAATTCTTCCATAAATTCAGTGAGGTCTGGGCTCTGTTTTTCTGCTTATTTATAATTGAGGAAACTGGCAGGAAAAGGTTAGTAGATTGTCAAAGTAACTGGTGGGACCACAATTTAAACCCAGGTGTTGATGCTGTTGAACTTCTAGAAGAGAGGGACTTTTCTGCTAATGGACAAAAACGTTGGAATTTTACAAAGTACAGCTCCACAAATATTAGTAGTTGTCATGTACTCGATAGTAGAAGAAATCTATACTCATTAAAGTACCTTGATAGTCCATTTATCCCCCCTTTTAAATTCTGAATTACATTGTTTCAAAGCACTGTCAGTACAATTATATTATTATGAGATGCGTTATAGTTCAACTGTTTTTTTTTTTTTTTTTTTTGAGACGGAGTCTCACTCTGTCACCTGGGCTGGAGTGCAGTGGCATGATCTCGGATCACTGCAACCTCCACCTCCTGGGTTCAAGCAATTCTCCTGCCTCAGCCTCTTGAGTAACTGGGATTACAGGCACCCACCACTTCGCCCAGCTAATTTTTTGCATATTTAGTAGAGACGGGGTTTCACCATGTTGGCCAGGCTGGTCTTGAACTCCTGACCTCGTGATTCGCCAACCTCGGCCTCCCAAAGTGTTGAGATTACAGCCGTGAGCCACTGCGCCTGGCCATAGTTCAATTCTTACATTAAGTTAAACTAGCCTGCCTTCTTCCATCTGAAATGAGTAGATAAAATTACTAAGGAATTTTAAATATACCAATCTGGGCAGTAACCTTAAATTCTATTAAATACAAATTTTCAGAGAGTGTACAGAGGAATATGTACCATGAGGATGGTAGTTTATTGTTGGCAGTTTGTTTTATTCTTTTCCTTCCCAGACTTCCAAGCATGAATTCAGCAACTCTGTAAAGCTCATCATTAGGAGGCTACCAAGAAGAATAGGATAGTCCTCCCACCCATGAGGAGCTAACAGTTCTGCACAAATCTCCTACCTCCTTTAATTTCTTTGACTTTATGAGTTATTTATTCTTATCCTCTTATTATGAGAATCCAGCAGGGTTGATTTGATTTCATTACTTGTACCTCGGGCTCTAGCTATGCAGTGTTGAGCAAACCCATTTGGACTGAATCCTTAAGTACTGCAGTTACACTTGTGAATGAACTGAGACAGTGAGATTCTTAAACTTGTGTGGGAGGAAGTTATGCTAAGTTAATGGAAGCGTTGCGTTGTGTTAATGTAATTTTCCCTGCTATTTTTACAGTTTTGATATGTGTCCAAATAACTGCTCAGGCCGAGGAGAGTGTAAGATCAGTAATAGCAGCGATACTGTTGAATGTGAATGTTCTGAAAACTGGAAAGGTGAAGCATGTGACATTCCTCACTGTACAGACAACTGTGGTTTTCCTCATCGAGGCATCTGCAATTCAAGTGATGTCAGAGGATGCTCCTGCTTCTCAGACTGGCAGGGTAGGAGCTTCTTTCATTTTTATTTTTTCTTCCATTTATAGAACATTCCCACTAAATAAATTATAGATTGACTTTATTCTTAGCACCTATATAATTTATATTAATCAAATACGAGGTAGCATTTAAGCTTGAAACATCCCTCTATCTAGCTGCTTATGAATTTCGGTTTCATACATGTGTGGTCATGGTCTTTAGAATTATGGAGGGTTGGCCATTTTTTGCATCCTGTGTGTGAAAGTTGGAGAACTTGGACTCAGTCATAAAAGGATGTAGCAGAGAGCCAAGCTGGGAGATGGGACAAGAGCTGACAATAATGATATTTCCTCAGAAACACACTCTAAGTTCAGAGAAAATTGGTGTCAGTTATACATTAGAATCTTAAAGGAGTTAGCTAATAGTTATCTACAGAAATAATTAAAGAAGCTTTAGGGAATTATTTAAGGGGTGAGTGATAATAACTGTTATTAATTTGGTGATTTTTCTTGTAAACTTACCCCTTCCTCAGAACCTTTTTACTTTGAAAGGAAATATGCTGGTTTAAATACCTTAGTTTGTTGGGTTTGGCTGACATTTTAGAGTTAATAATTGAAGAATTTCAGTATCTACCATTGTGCAAATATTGCAGCAGAAGCCAAACCTCCCAAGAATGGAGTCTGTTTCTTCAATTTGTTTAAGTTTTTTGATTTACCAGAAGATGGATAGTTTGTATGATTGCTCCCGGGTCTAGTTATCAAACTTATTCCTCCATATCCACAAGTTCTGCATCTACAAATTCAAACAACCATGTGTAGAAAATATTCAGGAAAAAAACACAATAAAAGATAATACAGGCTGGGTGTGGTGGCTCATGCCTGTAATCCCAGCACTTTGGGAGGCCAAGGCAGGCGGCTCACTGAGGTCAGGAGTTCGAGACCAGCTTGGCCAACATGGTGAAACCCTGTCTCTACTAAAAAATACAAAAATTAGGTGGGCATGGTGGCAGGCACCTGTAATCCCAGCTACTTGGGAGGCTGAGGCAGGAGAATGTCTTGAACCCTGGAGGTGGAGGTTGCAGTGAGCCGAGATCATACCACTGCACTCCAACATGGATAACAGAGCCAGACTCCATCTCAAAAAAAAAAAAAAAAAAAAGATAATACAAATAAAAGATACGCATATGAAAACAACCATTTACATAGCATTTACATTGTGTTAAGTATTATAAGTAATCTAGAGGTGAGTTAGAGTATATGGCAGGATGTGTGTAGGTTATATGCAAGTGTTACATCACTAGTTTATATTAGGGACCTTGAGCATCTGTGGATTTTGGTACCAAGGGCATCCTGGAACCAGTCCCCTGTGGATATTGAGGGATAACTGTATATTTTATCCTTAAGATTTTTCATGTGAGTTAATTATTTATTTATCTGTGCTTTCTCCTGAGAGTTGCTTAAGCAGGTATTTCATTACCAAAAAAACCCTAACCTGGATATAGTCAAGTCATCATTAGAAAGTATGTGATTTACCCTTGGTCAATACCCTGAATAAATTAAAATAACAAATTAAAGGATTTGTCTGATATTTAAATGCTAAAGGAAAGACTATTATTTAAATATTTGTTACATTTAGATAATTAAAACTTGAAATGCAGTAAGCTTTAAAGCTGTCTTTTGTGAAGCTAATTCATTATGTTTTTATTAGGTCCTGGATGTTCAGTTCCTGTACCAGCTAACCAGTCATTTTGGACTCGAGAGGAATATTCTAACTTAAAGCTCCCCAGAGCATCTCATAAAGCTGTGGTCAATGGAAACATTATGTGGGTTGTTGGAGGATATATGTTCAACCACTCAGATTATAACATGGTTCTAGCGTAAGTCGTTTTAAACATTTTTGCAAGAAGCTTAGTTTTTTATTTTGAAAATTTATAAAGCACAGATAAGCAAAAATAAATCACCAGTCATTCTACTACCTAAAGAAAATCCCTGTTAATATTTTGGTAGTAGTCTTTCAAAGTGTTTTGACATATGTTGAGTTTTTAAAATTGAATGCTACAAAAAATTCATTGTCATGATAAGCATTCACCTCTTTTCAAATACTGTCTCTGATGTTTTGCTTTAAGTATATGTAGTAAGTTCTATATAAGTAGGGGATTATTTTATCTTTTAATTTAATTAATAGTTCCAAGGTCAAATGGTTTGAATTTATAGTTTGCTAGTGGAAATTATACCATTGTCTACTATGTCCCAGGCTTCAAGGTCTATTTGCTAATCTCGTGCTGCTCATTTTGAAGGGAGAATATGTGTTGTCATAGTGGAATTAGCTATGGAGGTGGACTTGTAGAAAAAAATTTATAAACATTTAATCTTGCTGATTTTATTACCTGGAACTTTTTTCTAGGCATTTTCTATTAATGAAGATTGTCAAAAAACCCAGCATCTGTTCATTAAGGGATTCTGGAAATATGGCAGTGGTGGCCTAGTTTCTGCATCCCCCCAAACATAGTCATTAAAACACATCACACAACTAGTCTAGCAAAATCAGAGAAACATGAGCAACATCTATAATAAAACTTGGTCAGGCTAGGCGCAGTGGCTCACGCCTATAACCCCAGCACTTTCAGAGGCTGAGGCTGGCGGATCACTTGAGATCAGGAGTTTGAGACCAGCCTGGCCAACAGGATAAAACCCCATCTCTACTAAAAATACAAAAATTAGCCAGGTGCGGTGGCCGGCACCTGTAGTCTCAGCTGCTCAGGAGGCTGAGATGGGAGAATTGCTTGAACCTGGGAGACAGAGGTTGAAGATCAGATGGTTGTAGGTGTGAAGCCTTATTTCTGGGCTCTCCATTCTGTTCCATTGGTCTATGTATCTGTTTTTGTACTAGTGCCATGCTGTTACTGTTACTGTTACTGTAGCCCAGGAGTATAGTTTGAAGTCGGGTAACCTGTTGCCTCCAGCTTCGTTCTTTTTGTGTAGGATTGAACTGGCCCAATCTCTATTCCCATTGCTGCTGCCTTTGTTCGAGCCCTTTAATTTCTGATGAGACTCCTGCAGTGGTCAGGTCAGGTTAGTAGATTTCCTCCAGGTTCTTTTCTTTCCCCATACATAGATTCAAACTATTTTCTTTGCCTGGAAAACAAATGCTTTCCTGAATATGAATTTAAAGTCACATCTTATTACAGTTTTTAGGTACACAGATTTTAGGCATTTTCATGTTTTTCATCAGAAGAGCTGTTTGCCAGCCCTAGGAGTGGCACAGGTGGCACCCAGAGATCTCGTAGGAGATTGGATCTCTACAGAGCTTTTCTTACACATCCCCCTTCCCTCTGGGGGGAAAGAGACCTGTCAGGGTCTATTCTTTCTTGGCTGGACAACCCAGAGGAAGCCCCAGAGTTGTTCAGGGGCTCATGCTCTTTCCAGACTCTACCTCAGCAAGTCATTTGTGTGGGCACCTCTTAGACTGTGTCATTATCAATAACTGCAGCCCCTCCATAATCTCATTTCTAAACGTTCCACATTCCACCCTGCTTCTTCTGTGGTGGACACTGTTGGTGCCTTGCCCAGATCTGTTTATCTTTACCTGGCTGGTGCAGTGCACCCAGTCACCTGATGCTGTGCAATTTGGCTGTTGTCAGTTCATAGCTGACCCTTTCTCTGAAGAATTCTCTCAGCAGATTGGAGCTGTCTTACCCAGGAACACCTAGAATACTATGCTC